>NC_000003.12:171887392-172038907 GCF_000001405.40 Homo sapiens
ACTCTCAACTTTGTCTTCTTTATCACTATCTGAACATATTTATTGAAATGAGGGTAGTGTGTGAGTACGTATTTACATAACGGAATGGAGTTAGTAATAGAAGAACAAAACAGACACTATTTTTTTTTAACTTTTATTTTAGGTTCGGGGGTACATGTGAAGGTTTATTACATAGGTAAACTCGTGTCACAGGGGTTTGTTGTACAGATTATTTCATGACCCAGGTATTAAGCCCAGTTTGCAATAGTTATCTTTTCTGATCCTCTCCCTTCTCCCACCCTCCACCCTCAAGTAGACACCAGTGTCTGTTGTTTCCTTCTTTGTGTTCATAAGTTCTCATGATTTAGCTACCACTCATAAATGAGAACATGAGGTATTTGGTTTTCTGTTCCTAGGTTAGTTTGTCTAGGAAAAGAGCCTCCAGATCCATCTATGTTCCCACAAAAGACATGAACTCTTTCTTTGTTACGGCTGTATAGTATTCCACAGTGTATATGTACCACATTGCCTTTATCCAGTCTGTCACTGATGGGCATTTAGGTTGATTCCATGTCTTTGCTATTGTGAATAGTGCTGCAATGAACATTTGTTGCATTTGTTCTTATGGTAGAATGATTTCTATTCCTCTGAGTATATACCCAGTATTGGGATTGCTGGATCGAATGGTAGTTCTGTTTTCAGCTCTTTGAGGAATCACCACACTGCTTTCCACAATGGTTGAACTAATTTACATTACCACCAACAGTGTATAAGTGTTCCCTTTTCTCCGCAACCTCTCTGGCATGTCATCTTTTGACTTTTTAATTATAGCCATTCTGACTAGTGTGAGATGGTGTCTCACTGTGGTTTTAATTTGCATTTCTCTAACGATCAGTGATATTGAATTTTTTTCATAAGCTTGTTGGCTCCATGTATGTCTTCTTTTGAAAAGCAGACATTCTTTACAAAGCTAATTATGAAGCAAGACAGAATTATGTAAATGTTAAATAGAAATACAAATAATATCTTCCTGTAATTGCAGAATGAAAATATCAGGTAAAGCTTCAGAGGGAAGGTGACATTTTTTATATTGTATTAGTCAGACTAGGTGAGATTATGCTGTGCTCGTATAGACACTACCCTGATTTTTATTACCATTACCATTAGTAAGTTTTGCCTATCTTTGGACTTCATATAAATGAAACCCTATAGTAAGTATTCTTTTGTGTGTGGCTTTTCTCAAGCAGCATTACATTTATGCGATTCATCCATTTTGCTGCATATATCTGCAGTACATTCCTTTTCATTACTCCATTGTATACCATTGTCTGAATATACCATAATTCATTTTGCTATTTTCCTGTTGATGAACAATTGGGTTGTTTCCAGTTTGGGGATAGTATGAATAATGCTGCTGTGAACATGTTTTTTTAAAAAACATATTAATGCATTTCTAATAGTTATATATCTAGAAGTGAAATCATTTGGCATAGCATATATTTATGTTCTGGTTTAGGAGATACTGCCAAACTGTTCTCTAAAGCAATGGTACCAACTTACAATTTCACCAGAAGTGTAAGTTACTCTATATCCTTGCCACGCCTTGTTATTGTCACTCATTTTAATATTAGCCATTCTGATGAGGATACAGTGAAATCACATTTATATTTCCCTGATGACTTTTAATATTTATTAGTTACTGGGTGACTTCTTTTATAACTTCCCTGCTAAGCCTTTTGCACATTTTCTACTGAAATGTCTTTTTCTTATTGACATATAGAAGTTCCTTAAATATTCTGGCTATGAGTCCTTTGTGGGTTCTATGCATTGCAAATATATCCTCCCATTTTGTGGCTTGCCTTTTAAATCACTTAATGATGTCTTGAATGACAGAAATTTTTAATTTTACTGAAGTTCAGCATGTCAATCTTTTCCTTTATTGTTAGCATTTTTTTGTATCCTGTTTAAAAAATATTTTTCAACTCCAAAGTTACCAAGATAATTTCCTATGTTCTATGATTTTTATTGCTTTTCATTTCACATTTAGTTCTATAATCCACCTAGAATTACTTTTTTAGTATGGTGTGAGGTAGGGATCAAGGTTCATTTTTTACATATATATCTAATGTATATGCACATTGAAACTCAGTGTAATTTGATCCATTAAATAAATTAATTCCCAAATCTGAAATTCCCTGAGGTTATATTATTTTTTAGGTTTCTAAACCACTGACTGTAAGGTGGAATCCACCACTAAAAACCCCTCATGGTTTCCTAAAATAACTTTACTGGTAGAGGTGGGGATAGACCATTATGCATAGTTATCGCCACTGCTAAAGACTATCAGGCTGAAATCTCCTTCCTAACCAGAAATTTCAAAATTTTGAGGAAATAATTTTTGTCAAGCAGAGATTCTCTCCCCACAGCTACAGAAGCTGTGAATGTGCTGGGTAATCAGCACATCTCATAGTCTCACCCAAGGCCCATGGCATAGTCCCTAGGTATTGCTGTTGGTTATTCAGGGCCCAAGACCTCTTTAGTTATAAGGTGATGGATCCTGCAAGGACTGGGTCCTTCCCTTCAAGGCGGTGAGTTCCCTTCTGGCCCAGGGTATGTCTGGAAATGCTGTCCAGGAGCTAGAGCCTGGAACTGGGGCCTCATGACTCTGACCAGTGCCCTATCCTACTGTGGCTAAGCTGGTATCTAAGATATAAGACAAAAGTCCTCCTTACTTTTCCTTCTCTTCTCTTTCAGTGAAAGGAAGGGGTCTCTTTTGAGGCTGAGAGCTGTTTCACCTGGGGTTGGGGGAGTAGTGGTATGAGCACTTCCTTAGCTTCCCCAGGTGGTGTCTCAGTAAGTCATGTGCCCCCAAGTCCACTGGCTCTGAGCCTGTTCAGCACTAGGACTTGCAGTACTTGTAGCCTAGACTGTCTTTCAAATTTATTTAGGGCCCCAAAGCACTTCAGCCCATTGTGGTGAGGCTTGCTAAAACTCAAGTTCCAGCCACTGGGGTAGATGATTCCCCTCTGGCTAGGGCTGGTTTAAATACTCCCTCCACGGCCAGGCATCAGCTGAGTTCAGACAGGTTTTGCTTTCCACTGTGACAGGACAGCACTGAATTCAATGCATAGTCTCATGATTACTGCAGTCTCCTTCTTTCAAGCACACAGGTTTATCCATGCCATGCAGCCATTACAGGATGGGGTAGGGGTGGTGTCAATGATTCAATAGGGTCTTTCCCACTCTCTTCAGTGCCTCTTTCAAAGTTATGAAGTTAAAACCAAGTACTGTGAGTAATCACCTGATTTCTGGTAAGTCTTACAAAGGAGCTTTTTATAGCTGTTGAATTTGGTGTTCCTGGGAGGAGGGAGGGTAGGGAGATGATTGGTGGGGCCTTCTATTCCACGTTCTTGCTCTGCCCCTTTGTCCCCAAAAGCACACTTTGAAAAATCAATAACATCTTTAATGTTAAGGTTTTTCCAGAGATGGACGGAGTTAAATAAATAGGTAATAAACATGCCAGCTGTGAAATTAAAGAGATATGTGTTCCGTGGTTACATTCTTATATTATCATAGTGAGATTGCTTTGGGGTGTCACTTCCAAGATGAATTTTTCATTTGACTCTATATACTCTATATCTCCTTGGGCAAAAAAAAAGCCTGTCTAATTTAATAGGCCTTTAATGATACAGTAGGAAAAGAAAGAAGAATTATAGTTCATTAAAAATAAGTCAATATTAAGATTATAAAATCTTTTCAACTTTAATTGTTATACTAAGAGGGACCAAAGGCCATATTTCTAAAGACTCAGCTTTATGCAGACACAAGATGAATGTAGCTGTCATAAGAACTAAAGACAACAACTTTTACATTTTATTCTACATAAATTCCAGGGATTACTGTTAACTTATTTAGCTAAGGTAGGCAAAAAGGTTTTTCTCAGAGAGTGAAAAAGACTGACCACTTCAAATAAGAGAACTTACTTTTATTTTTTTCCTAGAAGTCACTTTTGAAAGATTTTATAGCTTACTTGATTTGATCCCCACCTCCCCACCAAAATATATCAGGATTACCAACACCTACTTGATGATCAGTTTCAAAGATGGGGCCAAGAATATCTGAGCTGTGGAGACCTTAATGGGTATGCAAATCTCTCTTCCTTCAAAAATGTGTCTTGATATATAGAGTAAAGTAAGGATAACAGTAACTATTCATTCAGCTTTTCCAGAGCCCCACCAAACAGGGGATTTCCTGAAAGTGTGGTTAAGGTTTTTCTTGGCTAATGGGCTTGAAAGGGGTGAGATTCCTTGGCCCTATTTGGCTTGTGGGACAAGAATTTAAATATTGTTTAGGGGCTTCATAGAATGCTTCCTCAATGATGTTTAAATTAGAGGCATTTAATCTTGTTCCAAACTGTAAACTGGACATATATGAGCAAAGGTAGTAATTAACCTGGGTAAAAGTCCATTTATTAACAGCTCCCCTCCTCCAATTGCACCCCATCTCCCAAGAAAGAAACCAATCACAACACAAGAAGCCTTCTCAGAACCAAACAGAATACCAAGATGGCTTTCTGTGATTGTGGGCAAAGAAATGTCTATGATAAGTCTAGAGAGGAAAAAATCTAAGGCTCTAAGCCACTCACTGAGTTTAGCAGTGACAGGTCTGGAAGTTGGTGTCTGAAAGCTGAGATCCAGTGACAGCAGGCTACCTGCACCAACACCCTTCACCCCCGACCCACAGGCTGGCCCTACCCTCTTCTCTCAATGCATAAAATTATCGCAAGTAAAATTGAAGTCTTATTGCCTAAAAACTATTTAGTGAGAGAGAGCTTTATTGTTAGCTTTTAAATTGATGTTTCAACTACTTGGCTACTGTGGTGAAAACGTCCTATATAGTTTTGTATGCACCTCTATACCACAAAACGATTTTTTTCATGCACTAAGTTACTTAAAACTTCTTTAATTAATTTTATTTTGTTAAAGTATCTTCTAATCTCTTAAGGACTAAAAATCACTAAAATTTTAGTCTTAAGGACTAAAAATCACTAAAAAATTCTAGGGCTACTAATGGGTAGCCCTAGAACTATATTTGCCTTCAAAATTAGAAAGGAAATATGGATAACATTTTTCACTCAAGACTTGTGAAGCATTAATACTGAATACTGGAGCACTACAAGTAACATACTATTAAATTTCAGGCAAGCCACTTAACCTCTCTGCCCCTTTCTCCATCTGGAAATTCAGGAGATAAGTAGCCCACATCAACAATACTGTTTCAAAGACAAACTGGTACAAGATTGGAAAGCACTTTACAAATATTAAGTGCTCTGTAATTACTTCTTGTTGTGACAAACTCTATTTTCAGTCCTGTCCAGGAAACAACAAAGAAATACCCCCTGACTTCTAATCTGAATTGAATAGTACAATCTGGACAAAAATACAGCAGGAAGGGAAATTAGTCTTAAGTAGATCTTTGGCTACTGTGAAAATTGCACTTCTAGGGAGAAATTTGAAGAAAGAAATTTTGATATATTGAAAGGGGTTATGAAATCACAAATAATGCTACACCAGTAACTGATTCTTTTCTTTCTTTTTATGCAGCCCAACACAAATCTCCTCAAAAATTCTAACTTGAAATGGATACTACAGCTAGGGTAGATATTTTGTTTAAGAAATTTAAGTCATTGCTACAAGAACAGAGTAGAATTATCCTGTTTCTATCCTGAAGTTTCACAAATTTGAACCTTGAAAGAGTTTAGTTCACATATAAAATTTTCTTGCTTATGAAGGTTGTTAAACTGACAAGTTATTTAGCCAACAAGGTAGCCTTAATAAAACATTGTATTCTCAACTGTTTAATTAACCAATTAATCAACAAATGTTTATTGACCACCTACCACTATGTGTAAGCTCTTATGTGCGATACAATTTAAAAAAAGAAAAAAACGAAAGATAATAGTTCTTGCTTTTAAGAGTTCTGAATCTAATTGGACAGATAAGACATATACATGAGACGAGATAAGTGGCACCACCATGCTGTCATTGATATGGGCCAAATGACTAGTTCAGACTGTAAGTGGGAGACCAAGGGGACAAACAGCTCTGGGCTAGGGTGGTCAGGGAAGGCTGAACAGGCAGGATAAGCACAGGATCTTGGTGGACTGGAGCAGCAGAGTGGCAGAGTCGGGAATGGAATGGTAAATAGGTGTTTAAGAGTAGGAAAAATGTTTGCGAGAAGAGGAAAACGAATTTGAAGATGGCTGGGTGAAGCAATGAAAATCAAAGTATAGGCAAACTGTACCCTTTTTCTGTCTCTCTCTCTCTCACACACACACACACACACACACACACACACACACTGTGTGTGTGTGTGAGAGAGAGAAAATGTGCAGGGGTAAACGTGCCACAAGTTTAACCTTTAAATATTAAACAAATTTCTGTTTTCATTGTTTTTCCTCCCTCATCTGCCCCTGCCTCCTTCCCTCTCTCCTTCCTTTCTTTCTTCCCTTTCTTCCTCCCTCCCTCCCTTTTCTACCCCCTTTCTCTCTCTCCCTCTCTTCCTTCCTTCTTTCCTTTAGCCCTGGTCTACTTAGTAAGTGGAATACCTGTTACTTTCAACAGTCCTTGGACGCAAAAACTCAGAAATTCTCATGACTGCTTCTGAAAAATTCCAGGGCTTCTAGGTCTCCAGATTCCAGAATCCTATAAGAAAGGAGCTCAAGAAGCCACTTAGTTTAGCTCCTCTGAAAGAAGTTTGACATCGGACCCCTGCAACAACTTAACAGCTTTCTGGGCCACTCCCAATATAGCTTTGATGCTATTAGAAGAAAACAACTCTGGGAAATGTTCAACTTACTCTATTCAGAAATTAGATCTAAATCTCTCAGATCGTGATTGATTTTTTGCCATTTGTTAAATGTGTTATTACACATCAATGAAGTATTTTGGTAAAATGCTGACAGCCTCATGTTGAAGACCTAATTTCAAATTCAAGAGCAGGCTGCAGGTCAGCAGAAACTAGCTGCGTACATTGCACTGTCTTCCCCAGTGCTATCCGAGGGACATCAAGGGAGAACAGGAGAGGAGAGAAAAGGGAAGGAAGGAAGAGAATGCCTTGCATTAAGGACTCGCATAGGAAATTACCCAAAATGTAAGTTGAGGTGCTAAAGAGTTCGTGTTGACTCTTTTAGATTCTTGATACGTTATATTCACAAATAGCAGCTGTGTCAACTTGCTGGGCATTGAAGTAAGGGGAACCGTAGGGAACAGACACGTACATGCACACCAGTTACCACCAACATACATTATACATACAGAAGATTCCAATTTAGAAAATGAAGGAACTAACATTCATTTCTAGAATAACAGAAAACTATAATTCACTGAACAATAGGGCAGTCATTTTTATAATCATTTTGTTGTAATAATTGTGTTCTTCAATGTAAGCATTTTTCATAAACTATATCTTTTGCTTCCCAAACAAAGCATTTCAATCATCAAAGTAGGTCGTTGAGGACAATTTACAAATTGGCTCGACTCTGGAGAAAACTTTTGAAGAAAACTCTGTAACGTATAGAAGCCTTTAAAATTGAACTTTATTTGGATTTGTGGCATTTGGAAAAGTGGTCTATAAAAAAATCTGGAATTAGGCCCTATCATATCCATAATCTTTGGGGAAAACTAAGGACATTATTATAAATTAACATTTCTTTCTATGAATTTACTGGAATTATGAGCAGTTTTTATTCTCTTAGAAAAATTCGACACACAGCTATTCATTAAACTAAAATAGAAAAATCAAGATTGTTGCATTCGATCAAGCAGTAATTTTATTTTAAAAACCTAATAAAAAACAATTTGCTCTGAAGAACTTTGGCTATTATGTTACTTTTGAAGAATAAAAATAGTCAACATATTAATTTCTGTATCAATCTTTTCTTCAAGATGCTTATTTGCCCTAGTATACTCATTTTCTTGCTGCAAGAGATTGAGGTTGAGGTTCTCCACACATCTAGACTTGATCCTCTCTCTCTGTCTCCTCTCTCTCTCTCCCCCTCTCCAGCTCTGTCTCCCCTCCCCCTTTCTCTCTTGGCAATTCTCCTGAAATGCCTAAAGCAAAAGGGGGTTATTGATGTCTTCCAGGACTTTAACTGCAAGAACAGCTTTATCTCCTAGGCAGACAGATACTACACAAATGTTTGGTTTGCTGCATATCACACAGTTAACAAGGTTCTTATAGGTTCAAGGAAAATAGATTGTAAGACTTTGCCAGGAGGACTTAACATTCTGGAAAACAAATGAACAGATAATTCTGAAGAAACTGAAATTTTAAAAAATAACCAGTAGTTAGACATAATCCTACAAAAAGAGATAGAGTGAGAGTTTTTTTAAAAAAGATGAGAATAAATGTAAAAGGCAACTAAAGAGGTTTTTTTAAATTCTTAATCAATAAGAACAACTATTCTTAGAAAATGGTCTGTGCATTGCAATTGCCCTTCTTTCTGATCTAACAATCCAATCTTTTTATTCCAAATTGTTTAAACTATAGGAAAACCTGATGACAATACCTCTTTCATCAGACTTGCATGTTTCAGTTGAATGTTAAGTATATCTTTCAACTAAGCTTTAAACATGCAGTTCATCTGGAAGCTGGGCGGGTATCTCTTCCACGCTCTTTCCTTGCACTGCCACCAGGAAAAGAGATAATGAAGTGTCTTCATATGCTCATTGTGAGCATGTGTCCAGACTGCTTTTACTGACTTACCAATGGGCTTTATTTGTGTGTAAGTTACAAGACTCTGACATTTACGACTCTCCAGGCAAATGAGAGCAAAAAGAAGAGGTTCTCAATCTTAAAGCTGTTTACCAGCTGCTGGAAAATGTCGGCT
Organism: Homo sapiens; assembly: GCF_000001405.40. Classification (NCBI taxonomy): domain Eukaryota; kingdom Metazoa; phylum Chordata; class Mammalia; order Primates; family Hominidae; genus Homo; species Homo sapiens. The sequence continues at coordinate 171,896,262 of NC_000003.12, forward strand.
CTGGGCACCCACAATCCATACAAAATTCGAAGGTATTAGAGCTGTCCCTTCTTGTGTCAAACCATAAAACGCAAAAGCTGTACAATAGCTGCAATATATTGCCAAACTAAATTAACACATGAGGAAGAAACTACTGTACTTCTGTGAGAAATGGAGTCTTGAAAGGCCAGTTCTTTGCTCAGATCCCACAAGTTAAAAGTGCTGAAAAGCAGGCATTGTGGTTATGGTTCCCCGCCATGTGATGTTTGTTGAATTCTCACTGGATATCCTAAAACACTTAAGCCTAAAGGGTTTAGGATGTCTACAGAGGCCGTAATTTGGAGACAACAACTTTATCTTTGTGGGAGATACAGGGTACAATACAAATGTTTGTTGAGTTCCTTCTCTCTTCCTTGACAAGGAGCTTATTAAACAGTTCTCAAGCAAATTTTATGGGAAAGTAAATGATTTCATGGAGAAGAATTCTCATGGCTTAGCATGCTAAAGCTAGAGGCTTCAGTCAGGTGACACTCCAGGTTTATAGGGAATTGAAGGCAAGTTGGAACGTAGTTCATCAAATGTCAATAAGGTATGAGAAGCATACTTGGATGTGGGGCTTGAAGGAAGATGCCAAGAAATTGCAGACATGGGAATGGTCACACAGGTAGAGAGATAAACATGCCAGGTGAATGTAGAAGGTGAGAGGAGAGGTCACAGGGTACCTAGAAAGAGATTTTCTAATCCAAAGAATATTCTTCAGGTTGGAGAAATTTCTCTTATATTAAAGAGACTACTTGGGCCATAAGTGCTTAGGATGGATAGTCAGAATAATAGAATTTTCAAACTGCTAGGAATGTGACATATTTATAAAGCATACATATTTATAAACCATCCTACCTCTGCTTTTGTTCTTCCAGGGCCTTCCCATTGCGTTTCAAATGAAATCCATGGTTTGGCCTTCCTTATGCCTCCACGTCCCTGCAGCATGTGGCCTTTCAGGCTTTGCCTCGGCCTGCTCTCCCTGGGGCCCCTCCCCCGTCAGTACTCAGGCTGACCTGTCTTGCCAGCCTCGGTGCCCCTGGCCATCATGCAGCTTCAGCCTAATGTTCTTTCTTCACCTTTCATTGGACTCACCATCATTGTGTTTATGTTTAGTCTATTTCCACTACACAGTGAGTTCCATAAGGTCAAAAACCATGTCTCTCTCATTCTCCATTTTGCCATCAAGATGTATCATAATACCTGGCCTCTGGTAGTTGCTACACAAATACTTGTTCAACAGAAGAATACAAATGAGGTCACTGGGGTCAAAACAGGTAGAGTAATTTCCTCAAACTCTCCCAAATCATTAATAGCAGAACTAGGCTAAGCACTGAAGTTTCCCAAGAAATCCTGATTTCTAAGAGTGGTTAGAATATGCTCAGGTAAGAGTTTTCATTGACATTTCTGCAGTTAGCATTTATGCTTTTGGAGAGATTTGGGAGGAGAAGCTTTTTTTTTTTTTTTTTTTTTTTTTTTTTTTTTTTTTTTTTCAGGAGACTAATGAACCCAATTGCTGTATGGGCATCAAGAGGGTAAACTGGGTTCTGTATATTGTTATCCTTTCTCCTTGGCTGTGTTCCACCTCCCAAATCCTCTTTAGGGTTTTCATCCTGTCTGCTCTTGTCCAGAGCTACTCCTTGAATCCTATGCTCACTGGTCCTCACTCTCTGGTTTTTCTTCTTTTCTGATTGTTAGCACATGCTCTTCTCTGCCCTTTGGAATGTCCTATCTATGCATCAAGGTAATTACTTTGGGGTAGAATTGCAGCTTTTAATTTCCAGTGCTTATTTGTGGGAAGGGCAAGGAGAAGCAAGACAGAGGGAAGGGACAAGGTGGTTAAATAGCATTCTGTTGTCAGCCTAATGAAGCCAGCCCTTTATTAGATGTTATCTTGGCTCTGCCTGCGTTAGAGAGAGATAATTTATTTACTTTTTTGTTAATATTTTAAAAGGAAATTTTGATACTGGTCTTGTGACTCCCCAGAGAATCTTCAGTAGCACAAAGGGTGTTACAAAATTCTAAAGTCTCAAGAAGCAAAACCACTTAAACTAATAAACATGTCATATAATACTTTGTGGGGCCTGGGGAAGGGTAATATCATGAAATCAAGCAATGATCAGCTTTTAAAGCTCCCAAAAGGACAATCATCACAGACTGAGTAATTTGTTGTTGGTGTTAGTTTTGTTTTGTTTTCTTAGTTTCATCTTTCCTCCATAATTATCCTGTTTGTGCTCATAAATGCTTTTGCGGGAATAATATTTACCAATAATATCTACTTTTTACTGAATGCCTACTATGTGCCAGGCACTTTACTTTGTCTCAAATCCTTATCATAACCTTAATAGGTAGATATGGTTATTCATATTTCAAATGAGAAAATTAACACCCAAAGTAGTTACGTAAGTTGCTCAAGATCACATAACAAGTAAGGACTGTCAGACCACCCAAGCCTGTACCTACCTTCAGTAGCTGTGCCCTAGGGTGGCTGGAGATCAATATCTATTGGGCCCAAATACACAATCTATGAAAAGTCTTGCGTTTGTTATGCAAAGCCTGCTTCAAAATAATTCACTTGATCTTCTCATCTCTCTTCCAACAAATTTGCCACCTTGGAGTTCATTCTATGTAAAAATTCTAGACATGAAAGTACTTTGCAATATGTCATCTTATATGCAAACAAAATTAAGTAAATTTGAACTTGAATCATTGGATCAGAGTCTAGTGTACTAGATATTATATCAGGGCCAGCAGACTAAATTTTTAAAATAGCAAACAGCCTTTTTACTTATTTTCTCAAGCTCTCCATGTATCTATGATGTTCTTATTTGGTGTTATCTACCCAATTGTGAACTGCACTAAGACATGGGGTAGGCTAGCATGGTGGCTCATACCTGTAATTCCAGCATTTGGGGAGGCCAAGGTGGGAGGATCACCTGAGCCCAGGAGCTTGAGACCAGCCTGGGCAATATAATGGACCTCGTCTCTGCAAATAATAGTTTAAAAAAAAATTAGCTGGGAGTGGTGGCACATGCCTGTGGTCCTAGCTACTAGGGAGGCTGAGGCAGGAAGATCACTTGAATCTGGGAGGTCGAGGCTGCAGTGAGCTATGATTGCACCACTGCACTCCAGCCTGGGCGACAGAGTAAGACTCTGTCTCAATAACAATGACAACAACAACAAAAAGATATGAGGTACATATTTGATCTTTCAGAAAGCATCAGGCTCTTGGGGGAGCCCACAGCCATAGAACTTCTTTGTTTAATATAAACACAGACAGAAACTCAAATAAATGTGTCTAATTTACGTTCATGTTTCTATCATTTCATTGCCGGCAGTGATAGCCAGAAACTGAGGACCCTGAAATCACCTTTGATACATAATCCCTCTCCCAGTGTCCTCTCTACACCTCTGGCCCCCTCACAGTGAGCTTCAACATTCCTCAGAACCAAAAAGCACAACAAAGCCGGGCACGGTGGCTCACACCTGTAATCCCAGCACTTTGGGAGGGCGAGGAGTGTGCATCACTTGAGGTCAGGAGTTCGAGACCAGCCTAGCCAACATGGCAAAACCCCATCTCTACCAAAAATACAAAAATTAGCTGAGCATGATGGTGCATGCCTGTAATCCCAGCTACTTAGGAGGGTGAGGAAGGAGAATCACTTGAACCAGGGAGGTGGAGGTTGCAGTGAGCCGAGATCACACCACTGCCCTCCAGCCTGGGCAACAGAACAAGAGTCTGTCACAAAAAACAAACAGACAAACAAAACAAATCCCATGCCTCTTGGAATTTAGGCAATGTATGATTAGGCAAGTATTAAAAGTTATTTTAAAGGCTAAGTAATAATATTTGGTGATATTTATGGTCAACTAAAAAAAAAGCAGAAAGTAAAATTTTCTCTCTGCTATTGTGTCAGAAGAGTATTCTAGAAATATTAAAGGTTTCCCAAGTGTTTCGTTTTCTGCCTTGACCCTAACCTCCATTCAAACACCAGATTTGACCTTCAGCTCAGGAAGAACTCAGAATGGCAACAAGCACCAAAAAGGAGTCTTTTCAGATTTCTACGTTTTTTAAGTCTAGCTCCTTAGGAGAACGGAAAGGACTCAAACTAGAAAAAGATTGGAAAAGGAGAGTTGGAGAAGCAGAGAGGGCAGTGGCGCCGTTACGTACCTGAGAGATGTGCCTGCGCTTTACTCCACAGGCTGAGCTTGAGAAAGGCGGCAAGACCCTGAGAAGAAATGGCGGCACGAAAAGTGTTGCGGAGGCTGTGGAGTTCCCAGTCCCGCCATGCTGTAGGCGTTGAAAAATGATCTCCTCGCACCCCAAAATAGCACAGAGGAGGCCCTGAAACCAGATGGGGCCACGTGGGTGGAAACAAGGAGGTTCTCTTCAGTGGCTGGCACTAAACAGCACCCAAGGAACAATCAGGATGAAGGTCTCAGCCGATGCCGCTGTGGCTAGATGACGGTGAGGATTTGATGCAACTCAGGGGAAACGGGGGGAGGCTTGGCAAGAATGGAATTTGAAACAGAAACCAATGTATGGAGTCAGAGAAAAGTAAAGAGAAGTAGGTATTTTGCTTTTCTGCATTTAAGGACTAAATTTTATACCTCCTAAACCTGTGATTAAAACAAGAGATGAGGAGTGACATAAAAAAATGAGGAAAATTTGTCCGGATTTCTCTGAACCTCCACTTCTTCGAAAGAAGAATAATTAAAATGTTTAGAACCCAGCATTAGTATGCGCATAAGAAATAATGGACTACTATCTAACATATTAAAGTAATTATTTGTTGAGGTCATTAGATTGTAAATTTGTCTTTCATTTATATTTTCCACGTTTATGGAGATTTTTGTTGTTCTTGTTGTTTTAAGAAATAAGATGAAGAGAAAGGACAGAGGTAAAAAGGAAGTAAGGAAAGAAAAAAGATGGTGAGAAAAAAGGACTTTTAAGTAGTATTGGGTAGTTAAAACATATTACCAGTGGTTAAAAAAAATGAGGTTGGAAATGTGGATGGGGAGAAATTTTAAAGCGTCTAAAATTTCAGACTAAGAAATGTGGACTGTATCCTGTAATCAATGAAGGGCCATGTGGACTGTATCCTGTAATCAATGAAGGGTTTTGAATATGGGAGTAACAGGTCAAATCTATGTTTAAAAGCATTCTGGTCATTTTGGGGTGAGAGTCCTAAGAACGAAGGCAGTGAAATAATTCCCAGGCAATTGCAATAACATAGACATAAAATCATGGGGGCACCCAGGCAGTGGCAGGAGGGTTGAAGAAGCAGGAGTGGATCAAAATTTTTAAAGAGGTAGCAACTTAGTGCATGATTGGTTCTGAGGGTAAAAAAAAAAAAAAAAAAAAAAATCATTGCTGAGAATATCCTGATATATGGAATCTTCAGCCACAGCTTGAAAGTGCTCCTGTTTTAAGAGGAGATTAAGCATCTTGAGTGTCATTTTGAAACTGGACAGAATTGAAGACTGCTAATGAATGTTGGCCACTTAGCAACCACAAAGTTAGCAACTTCGAGCAACAGCCACAGACGCGCTATCCTGTGGCTCTGGACCACCTACTCCCACTACTCTAAGCCACCTGACAGCTGATGGGAAATGCCTCCAGCCAGAGCTCAAATAAAGCCCTGAAGCTTCCAGAGCCTCACCAGGAGGACACTCTCTTGACTAGGAAGGGAAGAGCTGAGTCCAGAGCCCCTGACTCCATTTCCTAATCCATTCCCTTGCACGACATTCTGGCCCAGTGGAATCTGAGATGGCCACAGTGATCTTCCCTTTTTGCCCACAACAAGCAGAAACGAGGCCAGTGTGTTTAAATCAGTGTTTATTGAAGTCTCAGGGATTACGCAAAGTAAATACATCTGGAGAGCAACATGAATCCTGATAATTCTTAAGATACAGCTCACTCTCTGAAGATCACAAGGCCCATCTCATCCTTGTGGGCCCTCGGAAAGAAGTGAGAACACTCTATATTTTCCATCCATGGTGCCACATTTCTTTCACTTGGTAGAAGCCATCCCTAAATCTCACCACCCCAGAGTCACAGCATTCCGTGTGAATAATTTGTGTTCTGGATTTGTTTTATTCCTAGCTGTCCTTTGTCCCCGAGAACCCTGAGATATTTGTAAAGATTTGAAGTAATAAAACAATCTTAAAGAAGGTTTAAAAATTGGGGAAAATTTTAAAAATTGCTCAAACATTTTTAAAACCTTCAGAACACAACTATCAATGTTTTCATACATTCCCTTCTAGTTTTTTTGTATATATTTTATATAGTTTTAATTATACAATATATACACACACTTGTTTTTTGGTATCATTATACCATTTTTCCTATTGATTTTCAGTCTTAATTGTATCTTTTCTGATGATTCCTAAAGTGCCATCATTATATTACCATTTCTATGTTTAGGGCTATTATATTTCTTTCATTTTCAAATTTTTTTAAAGTCATTTTTTTCTGAGTATACAAACACTATAGAACATTTAAAACAAAAAGAAAATAATAAAAAGTTATTTATGCAGTACATAAAATTGTGATTTACAGATGTAGAGATTTGATTTCCACTTTTGTTCCTTGATTTGAAACTTACACAGTTAATCCAGGAAAGGTGTTCTCAGGCTATTGTGAATCATTTGCTGCCATTGCCTCAGTGCAGAATCCTCGGCTGTACATCCCCACCTCAGACCAGATCCAAATCTCAGTTTCCACCAGCAGCCACCCCAAGACAGCTCTGCTCCTCCCAGTGGCCTGCTCCTCAAGGCCTCAGCTCTTTTCCCCCATTTTCTTTTATTATTATTCTTATTTTTAATTGACATAAAACTGTACATATATATGGGGTACTGAGTGATATTTCAATACTTGTATACAATATGTAATGATCAAATCAGAGTAATTAGCATATCCATCACCTCAAAATTGATTATTTCTCCATGTTGGGAGCATCCAAAATCCTCTTTACTAGGCCGGGCGTGGTGACTTACGCCTGTAATCCCAGCACTTTGGAAGGCCGAGGCAGGTGGATCACCTGAGGTCAGGAGTTTGAGACCAGCCTGTCCAACATGGTGAAACCTTGTCTTTACTAAAAATACAAAAATTAGCTGGGCATCGTGGTGTGTGCCTGTAATGCCAACTGCTCGGGAGGCTGAAGCAGGAGAATTGCTTGAACCCAGGAGGCGGAGGTTGCAGTGAGCCAAGGTTGCACCACTGCACTTCAGCCTGAGCAACAAGAACGAAACTCTATCTCAAAAAAAAAAACCTCTCTTCTAGCTACCTGAACGTATGCAATAAATTATTGTTAACTATAGTCACCCTACAGTGCAATAGAACACTAGAACTTAATCCTGTTGTCTACCTATAATTTTATGCCTATTAACCAACCTCTCCCTATCTCCCCTCCCAGCCACTAGTTTCCAGCCTCTAGTTACCACTATTCTACTTCTATGAGATCAAATTTTTGAACTTCTACAGATGAATGAGAACATGTGATATTTATGGTATTTATCTTTCTGTGCCTGGATTCTTTCACTTAGTGTCCTCCAGGCTCACCCATGTTGCCACATATGACAGGATTTCATTCTTTTCTATGGTTGAATAATATTCCATTATTGCATTAGTCCATTCTTGCATGCTATCAATACCTGAGACTGGGTAATTTATAAAGAAAAGAGGTTTAATTGGCTTGCAGTTCTGCAGGCTGTACAGGAAGCATGGCTGGAGAGGCCCCAGGAAAATTAACAAGCATGGTGGAAGGTGAAGAAGAAGCAGGCATGTCTTACATGGTTGGAGCAGAAGGAAAAGAGAGATGGGGGAGGTGCCATACACTTTTAAACAACCAAATCTCACAAGCACTCACTATCATGAAAGCAACATCGAGGGGGAAATCGGCCCCTGAACAAATCACCTCCCACCAGGCCCCACCTCCAACATTGGGGATTACAATTTGACATGAGATTTGAACAGGGACACAGACCCAAACTATATCAATTATATACATGATGGCCATTTCGGTTGTTTTCATAACTTGGTTATTGCAAATAGTGCTGTGCTACACATGGGAGTAAAGATATCTCTTAGACATACTGATTTCATTTTCTTTGGATATATCTGGTAGTGGGATTGTTAGATCATGTGGTAGTTCTGGTTTTAGTTTTTTGAGGAACTGCCACACTGTTTTCCATAATGGCTGTACTAATTTATCTCCTTTTTTTTTCTTTCTCTCTTTGGAATAAAGAGGTTCTTCTAGACTTCCACCTCTCTTGTAAGACCAGCAGAATCTCCCATAGTGTATCTTCTCTGGGACTGGTGGTTCTGCATTGGGAACATGCCTTGGAGCTCCTAGTCTGCAGCACCCACAATGCCCAAAGCAGGTATTGGCAGCTTTCTTAGCAGCAAAGGTTTTTGAAGCATGGAGAACAGAACCTTTCTACCTTATTTTTCACATTGATGAGTATTTTATAATTGCTTTACTTAGCAAGCCGGGGAAATATGTAAGTAGTCATCAGTTTTACAGATGTGAGAATTAAGGTTCAGAAAGGCTAAATGACTTGCTTTAAATAGTCACAAAATTGTGTCATTAGAGAGTTAAATGAGAACTCTCTTTTCTACTAAAACTACATACTTCTTGGGATAGAGATAAATGACACAGTAATGCAGGAAGTACACATGTTGACTTAATAAGGGGGCAGAGGTGAAGCCTAGAGAAAGAGGTGAAAGAAGTCTGGAAGAGCACAGAGCGATCCAACAGAAGTCAAAGGTCGTAGGAAAAAATAATTATGTGGCTCTAACAGCTTAAAAATGCCTATTGTATGTGTTCGTGGTGAGTGTAGTGGTTCTTGATTTGATCCACATGTTTGCCAAGTGGCTCAGCTTCATTCTTATAAGAGCAGGATGAAGGCTTCCCTCCTACCCTGGTGCTTGGTACTACCTCAGACTCCTAGACAACTACCTGCCCCCCACCCTAAACCATACTGGGACTACCAGGCTGGCTCCAGAGGAGTGCATAGGCTGGGCAGGCTGCACTTTCCTTCATTGTCTCACCCCTCAGTTCCTCAGAGCACCATTGACATGAGGCTGTTGGGTGTAACATCTATACTCAAGGTTTGATGTTGGTTAGAGAAAGTATCTCTGGAAAGATGCCTGTGGAGCTGGTATCAATGATTGCTTCTAGGGAGAACTCGTGGCTGGAGGAGGCGGGAAGTGAGCATGGCTTCCTTTCACAGTATATGCTTTGTGTAGCTTTTAAATTTTGTACTCAATGTGTTTATTATCCACTCAAAAATAAAAATGAAGACAAAAGCTTTGCTGCCACGCTGGAGTGCAGTGGCGTGATCTCAGCTCACTGCAAGCTACGCCTCCCAAGTTCATGCCATTCTCCTGCCTCAGCCTCCTGAATAGCTGGGACTACAGGCACCCGCCACCACTCCCAGCTAATTTTTTGTATTTTTAGTAGAGACGGGGTTTCACCATGTTAGCCAGGATGGTCTCGATCTCCTGACCTCATGATCCACCTGCCTCAGCCTCCCAAAGTGCTAGGATTACAGGTGTGAGCCACAGCGCCCGGCCTGGGCTGGCTTTTTTGGCTTGGAACGACTCCTCTAGTCCCTTCCTCTCCTAGTCAGGGTCATATTTCAATTCTTCACAATGAGAATCTTCATTCACTTAAACCCCAACTTCCTCACCACGACAATGGCATGCCTTGCCCTAGAATTCGTCTCAACAACCAGAACAATCCATAGGACACAATAACTAAAAGGAATCCAGTTCTCAAATCTGAGTAATTTTATCTAGAATAGCAATTATAGAATTTTCTATTCACTCTAGATTACAAGTGCATCCAGAGTGGCCTTTGGTGACCCAGTTCCCAAAATTTTCAAGGTCCCTCTGCCAGGGTCAAGTGGAGACATTGTGTCTGGAATTGGTGGGTTCTTGGTCTCACTGACTTCAAGAATGAAGCCACGGACCTTCGCGGTGAGTGTTACAGTTCTTAAAGATAGTGTGTCTGGAATTCGTTCCTTCTGATGTTCGGACATGTTCGGAGTTTCTTCCTTCTGTTGGGTTCGTGGTCTCACTGGCTTCAGGAGTGAAGCTGCAAACCTTCGCGGTGAGAGTTACAGCTCTTAAGGCGGCGCATCTGGAGTTGTTTGTTCCTCCCCTCCAGAATTGTTCATTCCTCCCGGTGGGTTCGTGGTCTTGCTGGCCTCAGGAGTGAAACTGCAGACCTTAGTGGTGAGTGTTACTGCTCATAAACACAGTGCGGACCCAAAGAGTGAGCAGCGGCAAGATTTATTACAAAGAGTGAAAGAACAAAGCTACCACAGGTGGAAGGGGACCAGAGTGGGTTGCTGCTGCTGGCTAGGGCAGCCTGCTTTTATTCCCTTATCTGACCCCACCCACATCCTGCCGATTGGTCCGTTTTACAGAGAGCTGATTGATCCGTTTTGACAGGGTGCTGACTGGTGTATTTACAAACCTTGAGCTAGACACAGAGTGCTGATTGGTGCATTTACAATCCTCCAGCTAGACATAGAAGTTCTCCAAGTCCCTACCAGATTAGCTAGATACAGAGTGCTGATTGGTGCATCCACGAATGCCCCCAGAGCTAGACACACAGTGCTGATTGGTGCATATACAATCCTCTGGCTAGACATAAAAGTTCTCCAAGTCCCCACCTGACTCAGGAGCCCAGCTGGCTTCCCCTAGTGGATCCTGTGCCAGGGCCGTGGGTGGAGCTGCCCGCCAGTCCTGCACAGTGTGCCCACACTCCTCAACCCTTGGGCGGTAGATGGGACCAGGCGCCGCAGAGCAGGGGGCAGCACCCATCCGGGAGGCTCAGGCAGCGTGGGAGCCTATGGGGGGCTGTGGGGGGAGGCCCCGGTATGGCGGGCTGCAGGGCTGCAGGTCCCGAGCCCTGCCCTGTGGGGAGGCAGCTGAGGCCTGCGAGAATTCGAGCGTGGCACCGGCAGGCCAGCACTGCTGGGAGATCTGGCGCACCCTTTGCAGCTGCTGGCCTGGGTGCTAAGCCTCTCACTGCCCACCAGCAGCTCTGAGTGCGGGGCCCACTGAGCCTGCGCCCACCCCTAACTGGAGCTGGCCTGCGAGTGCGGCAGGCAGCCCCGGTTCCCGCCGGCGCCTCTCCCTCCACACCTCCCTGCAAGCAGGGGGAGCCGGCTCCAGCCTTGGCCAGCCCAGAGAGGGGCTCCCACAGTGCGGCGGCGGGCCAAAGGGCTCCTCAAGCGCAGCCAGAGTGGAGGCCGTGGCATGAGGAGGTGCCGAGAGCGAGCAAGGGCTGCTAGCACGTTGTCACCTCTCAATAGGACTCTTCATTCTCTTTCTGAATATACTTAGATCGTCTGATCTTGACTCCAGTACCCTGTGGGTAAAACACACACCCACATACTTCCGAAAGACAAATAGTTCTTAAAGATCATACTGTCTAAACTAAATCACATTAAATGGAAAAATCTTCCTAACAGCTCTGACAATCTACAAAGACTTATCCTAAAATAAACCCTGAAAGTAGACCTTTACATGATTACCTAATGCCATTCTTCTTTTCCTTTCTTCAATCTCCAACTTCCAAACTATGGCCGAAGGTTTTGCTAGGGACAAAGACACTGCCCATCACAAGTCCTGCTCAAACAGAAAACCCATTCACCCTTGATCTTTACCCTTAACTACACAAAAATACTGGCAGACACTTTGAATGTACAGGTTTAGACTTAGGCCAACTTGAATTTTTAGGTAGGGATTTCTATTGCACCATTTGTCTCTAAGTGGAATAAGGTCTGTGAAACATTTACTTACCACTGCCCTTCCCACGAGCTAGCAAAAGCTCCTAGCAATGACATTTAGGAATTGTTTTGTTTTTATTTTTATTTTCCTATTTCTTTACATGACGTGTAATCTAAGCTTGACCTATTTAAAGAATAAATGTAAAAAAGGACAAATGAAACGATTAATTGTCTAGAGGTGAGCATTGTTTACTATATCCTAGTTTTAATTTTTCCTATGCCATTTTTAAATAAAATTGGGATTCTATTGGATAGAGCATTACAAGACTGCTTCTTGTGGAAAGAATGTTCCTGAATGCCTTTCACAACACCTAGATGCTAGATGCTTGCTTTTACAATACTCCCTCCTTATCCAGTTTCCCTTTCTGTGTTTTAGTTACCCACATTCAACCACAGTCCAAAAATATTACATACAATATTTTGAGAGAGAAAAACTACATTCACATAACTTTTATTACAGTATATTGTTATTATTCTATTTTCATTATTAAGTTATTCCTGTTAATTTCTTACTATGTCTAATTTATAAATTAAACTTTCTCATAGGTGTGTATGTATGCATAGGAAAAAGCATAGCATATATAGGGTTCAGTACTATCTGCAGTTTCAGGCATGCACTGGGGGTCTTGAAACATCTCCTGAGGATAAAGGGAGTCTACTATGTCTGAATTCCGATATAATTCACATTCCATAAGATTTATCTTTTTAAAATGTAAAATTCAGTGGTTTTTAGCATATTCCCAAAGTTATGCAACCATCATTATTATCTGATTCCAGAACAGTTTCATGATCCAAAAAGAAACTCCATACCCCTAAAAGCAGTCACTCTCCACCCCTTCTACCGTAAGCCCCTGGCAAACACTAAGCTACTTTCAATCTCTAGGGATTTGCCTACTTTAGATATATTATACAAATGAAATCACACAACATGTGGTCTTTTATGACTGGCTTCTTTCACTTACCATAATGTTTTCAAAGCTCAGCCATTTATGAGTACTTCATTCCTTTTTATGACTGAGTGATATTCCACTGTATGAATATATCAATTTTGTTTATCCATTAATCAGTTGGTGGACATTTGTGTTGCTTCCAATTTGGGGCTGTTATGAATAATACTGCTGTAAACATTTGTGTACAAGTTTCTGGGTGAACATATGTTTCATTTCTCTTGGGTATTTACCTAGAAGTAGAATTACTGGATCATATTTTAACTCTATGTTTAACCATTTAAGGAATTTTCAAACTATTTTCCAAAGCAGCTGCACCATTTTAAAGTCGCACCAGCAGGGTATGAGGGTTCCAGTTTCCCCACATTCTTACCAAGGTTTACTGGTATCTTTCTTTTTTATTATAGCTATCAAATAGCTTTTGTAAAGTGGTATATCATTAAGGGTTTGATTTACATTTCTCTGATAGGCTAATGAGCATCTTCACATTTTATTGGCCATTTACATATCTTCTGTGGAGAAGTATCCATTCAGATGTTGTGCTTATTTTTAAATTGGGCTATTTGTCTTATTGTTGAGTTGTAAGAGTTCTGTATATATTCTGGACACTGGACTCTTATCAGATATATGATTTGCAAATATTTTTTCCATTCTGTATGTTGTCTTCTCATTTTCTTTTTTGAAACTTTTATTGTTATTATTATTATTTTAGAGACAGGTTCTTGCTCTGTCACCCAGGTTGGAGTACAGTGGTGCCATCGTAGCTCATTGCAGCCTTGAATTCCTGGGTTCAAGCAATCCTCCTGCCTCAGTCTCCTGAGTAGCTAGGATGACAGGTGTGCCACCATGCCTGGTTAATTTTTTTTGTTTTCTTTCAGAGACAGGGTCTCACTATATTGCCCAGGCTGGACTTGAACTCCTGGACTTAAGCTATCTTCCCACCTCCATCTCCCAGAGCACTGGGATTACAGGTGTGAGCCACCACACCCAACCTTACTTTCTTAATAATGTCCTTTAGAGCACAAGAGTTTTTATTTTGATTAAGTTCAACTTGCCTTTTGGGGGTAGGGGGCAGGGTTGTTCATGCTTATGGTATTATATCTAAGAAACATTGCCTGATCAAAGGTCACAAAGATTTACACCTATGTCTTCTTATTTTTTTCTTTCTTCTTTTCTTTCTTTCTTTCTTTCCTTCTTTCTTTCTTTTTTGACAAGGTCTTGCTATTTTGCTCAGATTGGTGTACAGTAGCTGTTCACAGGTGTAAGCATCAAAGTGTCCTGCAGCCTCAAACTCTTGGCCTCAAGTGATCCTCCTGGCTTATCTCATGAGTAGCTGGGACTACAGGCATACACCACCACTTTTGGCTTTATATCTATGTTTTTAAAGAGTTTTGGCTTTTACATTTAGATCTTTAATTTATTTTTAGTTAATTTTTATATGGTGTAAGGTTAGGAATCCAACTTTATTCTTTTGCGTATGAATTTCTAGTTGCACCAGCACGATTTATTGAAAAGACGTATCTTTCCCCCATTGAATAATCTTGACACTCTAGCCAAAAATCAATTGACCATAAATATGAGTTTATTTCTAAATCTTCAGCCCTATACCATTGATCTATATGTTTACCCTAATGCCAGTACCACACAGCTTTTCCTTAAAAAGAGAGATAGAGTGCTGAGAATTTGAAAGACATTGCTCTGAATTTGTACATCAATTTGGAGATATTACTATAACAATGTTAAGTTTTCAATCTAGGAACAGGGATATCTTTCTATTTATTTAGATTTTTTAAAGTTTTTTTTTTCAGAATGTTCTGTAGTTTTCAGTATGTAACTCTTGCAGTTTTTTGTTAACTTTGTTTCTGAGTTATTTCCGTTTCATTTCATTTTGTCCATTGCCAGTGTGTAAAAATACAGTTGATTTTTGTATATTGATCCTCTGTCTACAACATTGCTTGTTTATTACTACTAATATTAATACTAATAGGTTTTTGGGGATCCTGTAGAATTTTCTACATACAAGATCATCTGCAATTAGAAATGGATTTACTTCTTTTCTAATCTGAATGCCTTCTTTTCCTTCTTTTTCTTGCTTAATTGCTCTGGTTACAACCTCAAGTACCATGCTGAATAGAAATGGCAAAAACAGATATCTTTATCTTCTTCTTGATCTTAGGAAGAAAGCTTTTAGTCTTTCATCATTAAATATAATGTTAGCTTTGGATATTTTGTAGAAGTCCTTTGTAAGGTTGAAGAAGTTCCCATCCTTTCCTGGTTTTTATTATGAAATGTGTGGTATTTTTATTAAACACTTTTATGCGATATTGTGATGATTATCTGAATTTTTCTATTAATATTGTATATTATAGTAATTGCTTTTCACAGGTTGAGCCAAACTTGGACCCGTAGGATAAAACCTACTTAGTCATGATGTATCATCTTTTCAAATGTTGCTGGGTTTTGTTTGTTAGTATATCGTTGAGGATGTTTGCATCTGTATACATAAAAGATATGTATGTCCTTTTCTCCTTGTGATGTCTTTGCCTAGTTTTGGTTTCAGGGTAGAGTCAGCCTCATAGAATGAATTGGGAAGTGTTCCCTTCTCCTCTACTTTTTGAAAGAGTTTGTGAATGATTTGTGTTAACTCCTTAAACATCTGGTAGAATTTATCAGTGAAGCCATTTGGCCCTGAGACGTTTTGGGAGGAAATTTTTTATTACTAATTCAATCTCTTTGCTTGTTATACATCTATTTAGATTTTCTATTTCTCTTTGGGTCAATTTTGGTAAGTGTGTCTTTCTATGAATTTGTTGATTTCATCTAGGTTATCTAATTTGGTGGCATAAGGGTGTTCAATGTATTCTGTTACAATCCCTTTATACTTATGTAAAGTCAACATTAATGTCCCCCTTTTCATTCCTGATTTTAGTAATTTGAATATTGTCTCTTTTTTCCTTGGCATAGACTTGGCATTGTTTTTTAACAAATACAGAGCAATTTGTGCTCCCAGAACTTCACCTCATTCCAATTTCTCTTGGTCTGACTGAGAAGAATTATTGTGGAAGGGGATGAATATGATTTGTTCATGGACTTGTAAAGTGATTTCTTCCACTCCTTTTGGTGCTTCTGCCAAGTGAAGATTTTTAATATTTTCCAATAAAAAGAGACATGGATAACAATAAGAATGCAATAAACAAAGGCAGCTTTGTGAAGAGATATCTTTTTATTATGATTTGCAAGAAGATTTAGGCATAATATTTATAAATATAATGTTCTATTTATTTTGAATTCTCATTAAAAGATATCATATTGGCCGGGTGCAGTGGCTCACCCCTGTAATCCCAACACTTTGGCGGGCCGAGGCAGACGGATCACCCGAGGTCAGGAGTTTGAGACCAGCCTGGCCAACATGGTGGAACCCTATCTCTACTAAAGATAAAAAATTAGCCAGGTGTCGGGGTATGCACCTGTAATCCCAGCTACTGGAGAGGCTGAGGCAGGAGAATCACTTGAACCCAGGAGGCGGAGACTGCAGTGAGCCGAGATCGTGCCACTGCACTCCGGCCTGGGTGACAGAGTGAGACTCTTTCTCAAAAAAGAAAAAAAGATATCAAATTATTTATGTATTAAAATGTTAATAACCTATTAAGTTGTAAAAATTAATCGCTGGCCACATATTTGTGCTAAAAGTATAAAAACATGTATGGGAAGGCTACAAATAAAATAAAAGCCATTTCTAGAGGGGGAGAGAGTGAGAAAGTATCGGAGGTGAGACTTCAGCTGTGTAGGTAAAGATTTGGGGTTTTTTTTAAAAAGAGAGGATCACAGAGATTTGAAGCAAATATACCATTAATGGTAATGTGTGAAATCTGGATAGGAGATTCTTGAATGTCTAATTTTAATGAACAGATAATAACAAAATATTTAAACAAAAGAAACACTGAAAATTTTTTTTTTTTTTTGATTCGTAGTCTCGCTCTGTTATACAGGCTGGAGTGCAGTGGCACGATCTTGCCTCTCTGCAACCTCTGCCTCCTGGGTTCAAGTGATTCTTCTGCCTCAGCCTCCCAAGTAGCTGGAATTACAGGTGCACGCCACCGCACCCAGCTAATTTTTCTTTTTTTTTTTCTTTTTTTTTTTTTTTGAGACGGGGTCTCGCTCTGTCGCCCAGGCTGGAGTGCAGTGGCGCGATCTCTGCTCACTGCAAGCTCCGCCTCCCGGGTTCACGCCATTCTCCTGCCTCAGCCTCCCAAGTAGCTGGGAGTACAGGCGCCGGCCACCCCCCCCAGCTAATTTTTTGTATTTTTAGTAGAGGCAGGGTTTCACCGTGGTCTCGATCTCCTGACCTCGTGATCCGCCCACCTCGGCCTCCCAAAGTGCTGGGATTACAGGCGTGAGCCACCGCGCCCAGCCCTAATTTTTCTATTTTTAATAGAGACGGGGTTTCACCATGTTGGCCAGGCTGGTCTCAAACTCCTGACCTCAGGTGATCAGTCCACCTTGGCCTCCCAAAGTGTGAGGAATACAGGCGTGAGCCCCATGCCTGCCCTTACACTGAAGTTTTAAATTGGCTTTTAAAAGTCTAATGTTGTTGTAATAATGAGCAAAGGAAATAAACAGACAAATCACAAAAGGAAATAAAATTTCCCCACCTAGGTTACCCTTCTGGACTGAATAACTTACTCCCCCAGCTTCAGGAATTGCCTTGGCATGCTTCCTTTACCCAGTCGAACTTCATCCAGTGACTGGCCAATGCGGGGTATAAAAGTCTGACCCCCTTAGTCAAACTTGGAACAATTCTGAAGAGACATCCCAGCTTCAGAGTTCCCTATAGTTTAGTTGAGACACTTGTTGAGACTGCCCCTCAGCCCAACTTTTTCCTCTGTCCTCTGTTGTCCAGTCCTGCTTATTCCTTGCCCCACAAGTATTGGTCCCAGGGACTTTTCTGTTTACATATCTCTATCTCAGAATCTGCTTTCTGGAGAATTCTGCTTGTGGTATATAGGTAGATAAATACAAAAGCTCACTAATGATAAACAATAGCTCCAATTAAAACCAGAAAACGTAATTATGATGAGAGCAGGATGGTAGCCACTGGAGTGTGGCAGAACATGTTAGTTTTCTGTATAAAGTCCATCTCCTCTTTTTACTGAGTAACATAATCCTTTTTTTATTTGAAGCAGTAATGTACTCTACCAGAAGGTATATTTTCTAGCCTGTCTTGTACCTAGGTGTGTCCATGTGACTAAGATAAAACCACTGAAAAGTCAATGTTACTGGACCGCCAAATACGGTTCTTTAAGAAACTAGGCTCAGATAGTAGGTATTCCTCTTTCTGTATCCCTGTTTCTCCTTCCAGCCGCCTGGAATGGGGATGCAATGGTTAGATACGCACCAATCTGGTGCATATCTTTCCATAATTTTTCCTTTGTCTATACAAACACATGCAGATATGTATTCAACAATCATATTGTGGCCTTGAGGATGGAAGCATGGTGTCCATGAGAAAAGACAAAGAGAAGCTGGGTGTCCACTGATTTCAAAGGACGCCATATCCCCTTGTATTGCTACCTCTGGACTTCACAATTTTGTGAAGGGCTTTTTGTGCATTGTATATGAAATTTTGTCGTTAGGTATTTGAGCCACTGTTGGTTCTAGTTTTCTATTATAAACTACCAAATATAATTATAATTTAAACAGATGGGTAATTATATGCTCTGCTAGTAAAATAAAAAGTGAAAAATTATTTTGGAAAATGATTAAGCATTTGGCTTGTAATGTTCTCACTGGAATGATTCTACTTCCAAGAATAAATTCTAAGAAAACTAAACAGTTGTGTGTGTGGTGTGTGTGTGTGTGTGTGTGTGTGTGTAGTTTTAAGAATAAAGACATTTAAGTCATGAAAAAAAATAGAAACTACCTAAACATGCAACATAATGGAATGGGTAATAAAATACGATGTAGCCATTGAATTTAAAAATTAATTCAAGAAATTGAATTAACTCAAGAAATTGAGAAATTAACTCAAGAAATTGAGAGCATTTTTATATTAAAAAGCATTTTGTGGTAACAATTTAAACAACATAGAAGTTCGTGAACGGAAAGTAATACTTTCCCTCTCCTATTCTAGATCCATATCCCTGACTCTTTCCAATCTGATGCATATCTTTCCATAATTTTTCCTTTGTCTATACAAACACATGCAGATATGTATTCATATACAAGAAGACTTTTAAAAACTGGGTTATAACACATATTTAAAAGAAAAATTATCAGTAGCATGGAGAAATGTTTACTTTACAATAACAAGTTTTACAAGCAACATAAAATTTGATACAGTACAGCAAGATCTCAACTACATTTCAAACGTAGAAAAAAGAAAAAAGTCTAGAGTGAAATATATAATAAGTATGTAAATAAATGAGTATTAAGTACTAATTGAAAATATTAATGAATAATGTTTACTATTAATAATAAATCTTTTCTCCTAGAACTAACAGAGCATTGTTCTCTTCACAATTCTCATAAGGCTTAAAGTAAAACACATCTTACTACATTTTAAGGGAAATATTGGAGGCTGAGGGCACATATTTGAACCACCTGCCTCCCAGTTCCATCCAAAATGACCTGGAAAATTTAAAATATGTAAAACCTTAAATCAGTACTGGAAGCTAGGGAAGGAAGCCATATAAATGCCAGAAACTTCAAAGAATTTCTTTTAAATCCTGTGCAGTTTGGACCTGATTAAAGAAGGACAACAAAGGCCAATTTGCCATCACCAAAGGAGCAGCTTGACCTGGAGGGATGAGGCCTGGAGGCCGACAGCAGGACTCCGTCAGTGATTCTTTCAGCTCTTGAAAATGGTGAGAGTTTGATGGTATTAGAGTTGGAAAACAGTGGTAAATATTTCAAGCAGAAAGCCCATGCGTGGTGGCAATAGCTGTAATATTGGATGATTTCCCAAAGCTTTGGAGATTTTTCACAGTCTCTGTGGAGCAGGCCCTGAAGGCAAGGCCTAAGTGGCTACCCCACGTAGCAGGCCATCGCTGACAGCAGTGTTCTTTGATGAGGCAGTGGGCACCTGGCTAGAGACCTCACCTGGGAAGTAGGGTCAGGGCAGCTATATCACATGCCAGAAATGAGCCTGGGGGCCCTCAGAAGCCCTAGATAGGAAGCTCACCACAAAATCTATCAACTAGCCCAGCACTTTCACCAAATACAAAAAGAAACCCTATAGGCCAGGTGCGGTGGCTCACGCCTGTAATCCCAGCACTCTGGGAGGCCGAGGTGGGTGGATCACCTGAGGTCAGAAGTTCAAGACCAGCCTGGCCAACATGGCAAAACCCTGTCTCTACTAAAAATACAAAAATTAGCCAGGCGTGATGGCGTACATCAGGAGGTTGAGGCAGGAGAATTGCTCCAACCCAGGAGGCAGAGGTTGCAGTGAGCCAAGATTATGCCACTGCACTCCAACCTGGGCAACAGAGTGAGATTCCATCTCAAAAAAGAAAAGAAAAGAAACCCTATAAAGATGAAGTTTAGATAAATGTATTTTTTAAAAATTGACCCCTCCTCACATAATATGTAAGAATTAATTTGAAATGGACCATAGACTTAAATGTAAAACATAAATAAATAAGGCTTCTAGAAGAAAACATAATGTCTTTATGATCTTTGTTTAGGCAAAGTTTCTTAAATAGGACACCAAAAACACTAGCCAGAAAATAAAAGATTGAAAAAAATTGAACTTCATTAAAATGAAGAATTTATGTTTATCAAAAGACAATATGGGGAGGGTGACAAGGCAAGCCACAGGCTGGGAGAAGATATTTGTAATAGATTTAACCAACCACGGACTCATACCCAGACTGTATAAAAAATTTCCACAAATCAGTAAGACTATAACTAAAAACCACTTAAAAATAAGTTAAAAAAAAAAAAACTTTAACACACACACTTTACAGAAGTGGAGAGCGTATGGATGGTTGACCAAAAAGTGAATAAGCACCAGTCACAGGGAAAGACAAATAGCTGACAGTAAGAAGTGTTGACAAAGACGTAGGGCAACTGGAATTCTCAAAAATTGTTGGTAAAAGTGTAAACAGATTTTTTAAAAACTTTGGAAGAACGTTTGACTAACACTAAACATATGTATAATCTATTACCCAGAATTTCACTTTTGGGTATGTAACCTACAAAAACTAGTGTTTAAATCTATCAAAATACATGTGCAAGCATGGTCACAGGTGCTTTATTTATGATGTCAAAAACTAATAGTAGAACTAGTGTGTGTGTGTATATATATGTATTTTTTTTTTTTGAGACAGAGTATCACTTTGTCGCCCAGGCTGGAATGCAGTGGCACCATCTCAGCTCATTGCAACCTCTGCCTCCTGGGTTCAAGCGATTCTAGTGCCTCAGCCGGACACTGCCACACCCAGCTGATTTTTGTATTTTTAGTAGAGACGGGGTTTCACTATGTTGGCCAGGCTGGTCTCGAACTCCTGCCCTCAGGTGATCTGCCCACCTCTACCTCCCAAAGTGCTGGGATTACAGGCATGAGCCACCATGCCTGGCCTAAGTATACCATTTTTAGATTACATGAGAAAAAGAACAAACTACCTGCATATGCAAAACCATGGATGAATTTCATCAATGTAATGTTGAGCAAGAGAAACCAGACTCAAAAAATAGGACAATGGTTGAGTCCTTCAAGAAACAGATGCCAAATTTGAGTTAGAAGTGCGAAAGATTTGCTGGGAATATAAGTGGACATGGAAAGCCATTAAGCCTGACATTTAGAGGGTGAAGGATGGAGAATTGGGTAGAAAGGGCCTCAGCCTCCAGTACAGCTCTGGGAAAGTCTTTTCCAGTGCAATGAGAAGCTTCAATACAAAGTTATCCATATAGGAATCACTCACTGGCCAGAAATGGGAAGTCTTTATACCATATCCATGCTCAATCATTGACTGCTGCTACCCAGAGAGCACATTGTCATGTCTCGAAAGCCAAGACAGATGCTGAAGCTCATACATTTGGAGACTGTTTACCAACTGCAGTCTCTTATAACAGATTCTCTCTTGAAGGAGATCTGAGCAATACACCTCTATGACTGCCACAGGTACATTCTGTGCACAGGTACATTCTGATTGCAATTACATGAAGTCTAAAGCTGTCACATATAATCTGCAGTGACAGAGGTCAGAAGAGCTTGGGGATTTGACTAGGGAAGGGCAAGAGGGACCCTGTTGGGTTGCAGGAAATATTTTCTTTCTATATCTGGATAGTGATTATATGAATATATACATACTTTAAAATTCAATAAGCCGTACACTTAACGTTATGATATGTAAGTTACAGTCTTACTAAAAAAGGGTGGAGATGTAGGAAAGAGGTGCCTTTCCAGGTTTATACATGGTCCTGACTCCCTGAAGTTGTTAGATTAAGAAACTAGTCACAATCCTCCTTTTCAGATTTAAGAGATCCCTAAAAGTATTCCCCCAAAAAGAAGGAAGAGGTTTTTAAAAATCCCTTCGCCTGCTTTTGTGGGGGAGATAACTAGAACAAATTTTCATTGCTTAATTATAAATAAACAGAAAACTCTCACATAGCTAGGGCTAGGTTTAGCTGTGACAGAAAACCCAAAATAATACTAACTTAACCAAGATGAAATTTAGTTCACTGTCATCTAAAAGAAGTTCAAAAGCAGGCAGTTGAGAGCTGCTACAGTGCTCAATAGTGTCAAGGACCTGGGATGCTTCTATTTTACTATTCTGCCATCCTTGGCACTTGGTTTCTACCTCACTGTGGAAGAAGGCTGCTTGAGCTATAGTCATTACATCTGAATTCCAGCTACAAGAAAATATGGCAAAAAGGCACTCCTCTTTCTATTTAAAGACACTCCTCAGAAGTTGTACATAGCATATCTATTTATATCCCTTTGGCTGAAACTTAGTTTTTGTTTGGTTTGGTTTTTGTTTTGAGGCAGAGTCTCGCTCTGTTGCCCAGGCTGGAGTGCAGTGGCATGATCTTGGCTCACTGCAACCTCTGCCTCCCGGGTTCAAGCTACTCTCCTGTCTCAGCCTCTTGAGTAGCTGGGATTACAGGCATGTACCACCATGCCCAGCTAGTTTTTGTATTTTTAGTAGAGACTGGGTTTCACCATGTTGGTCAGGCTGGTCTCGAATTCCTAACCTCAAGTGATCTGCCCACCTCAGCCTCCCAAAGTGTTGGGATTACAGGCGTGAGCCCCTGGAACTTAGTTTTATGAACACATCTAGCTACCAGGGAGGCTGGAACACACAGGGACAACTAGCAGATTCTGCCATAACCCCACAGGAGAATTTGTAGTGTAAAGGAAAGAAAACATAGCATGCAAAAGGTGGAGGAAGATCAGACTATAAAAACCTATCTACTTTAGAAACATAAATTTTTAAATGCATCTATATTGTGCTCTTAATTTTCAAAATGCATGTACACTCTGAAAAAAGTGATAAAAGATAAATTGATCAGTAACAGGCAGAGTTGAGAAAAGAATTAGCTAAGCTAGAAAGGGAAATCAGGTGACTAAAAGGAGAACCAGGTGACTAAAGAAAGAACATTTTCAAAATAACTATGCAATTGTGAGACTGCGTGCTGAACTGGAAGCAGTGGAGAACAGAATTAACAAGGCAGAAAACAGAATCATTAATATGGTTGACAAGCTTAATTAATTTTCCTGTAGTAAATAAGAAAAGGAAAACAAGGCTGGGCACAGTGGCTCATGCCTGTAGTCCCAGCACTTTGGGAGGCTGAGGCGCACAGATCACGAGGTCAGGAGTTCAAGACCAGCCTGGCCAACATGGTGAAACCCTGTCTCTACTGAAAATACAAAAATTAGCTGGGTGTGGTGGTGCGCATCTGTAATCCTAGCTACTCGGGAGGCTGAGGCAGGACAATCATTTGAACCCAGGAGGCAGAGGTTGCAGTGAGTCCAGATCGCACCACTGCACTCCAGCCTGGGCAACAAAGCAAGATTAGACTCCCTCTAAAAAAAAGAAAAAAGAAAAAGAAAAATGAAAGGGAAAACAAAACCCAAAGAAAGAAAATTAGTATATCAAAGAGATATCTTCACTCCCGATGTTTACTGCAGCACTATTCACAATCGCCAACATTTGAAAGCAACCTAAGTGTCCATCAACAGATGAAAGGATAAAGAAAATGTGGTACATATACATAATGGAGTACTATTCAGCTATAGAAAAGAATGAGATCAACTGAAAGAAGGAAAATGGTGAATAGGAGGCATGACTGGATTTCAGCTCCCATTCAGACGGACAGAGCAGCATGTGGGGACTTGCATTGTGAACTTTTGCTCCAGAACTATTGCATGAATATACCAGGAGAGCCGAGAGAATTGACAGACCTTCTGAAGGAAGCGGATTGCTCCTGTGTACCCAAATACTGTGCTGGTATCCATGGCAGAGAGACCTGAAGACAGTTCACATCACAGCACTCTGTGCAGACAACATCCAGTACCAGCTCAGAGCCTGGTAGCCCTGCTGGGTGACTAGATCCAGAAAAGAAGTAACAACCATTACAGCTCAGCTCTCAGGAAGCCACATCCCTAGGAAAAAGGGAAGACATTAAGGGAACACAATGTGGGACAATAGAATCTGAATAGCAGCCTTGAGCCCCAGATCTCCCCTCTGACATAGCCTACCCAAATTAGAAGGAATCAGAAAAATAATTCTGGTAATATGACAAAACAAGGTTCTTTAACAACCCCCCAAAAATCACACTAGCTCACCAGCAAGGGGTTCAAACCCAGAAAAAATCCCTGATTTACCTAAAAAAAGAATTCTGAAGGTTGATTATAAAGCTAATCAAGGAGGCACCAGAGAAAGGTGAAGTCCAATTTAAGGAAATAAAAAAATGATACAAGAAATTAGGGGAGAAATCTTCAGTGAAATAGATAGCATAAATACAAAACAATCACAACTTTAGGAAATAGAGAACACCCTTAGAGAAATGCAAAATGTTCTGGAAAGTCTCAGCAATAGAATCAGACAAGCAGAAGAAAGAACTTCAGAACTCAAAGACAAGGTGTTTGAATTAACTCAATCCAACAAAGACAAAGAAAAAAGACTGAAATAAAATGAACAAAGTCTCCAGGAAGTTTGGGATTATGTTAAATGACCAAACCCAAAAATAACTGGCATTCCTGAGGAAGAAGAGAAATCTAAAAGTTTGGAAAACATATTTAGGGGAATATCAAGGAAAACTTCCCTGGCTTTGCTAGAGACCTAGACATCCAAATACAAAAAGCTCAAAGACCAAGATCGTGCCATTGCACTCCAGCCTGGGCAACAAGAGTGAAACACTGTCTTGGAAAAAAAAAAAAAAAAAAAAAAAAGCTCAAAGAACACCTGGGAAATTCATCACAAAAAGATCACCACCTAGGCATATTGTCATCAGGTTATCTAAAGTCAAGACAAAGAAAAGAATCTTAAGAGCTGTGAGGCAAAAGCACCAGGTAACCTATAAAGGAAAACCTATCAGATTAACAACAGATTTCTCAGTAGAAACCCTACAAGCTAGAAGGTATTGGGGCCCTATCTTCAGCCTCCTTAAACAAAATAATTATCAGCCAAGAATTTTGCATCCAGCAAAACTAAGCTTCATAAATGAAGGATAAATACAGTCTTTTGCAGACAAACAAATGCTGAGAGAAGTTGCCACTACCAAGCCAGCACTATAAGAACTGCTAAAAGAAGCTCTAAATCTGGAAACAAATCCTGGAAACACATCGAAATAGACTCTCTTTAAAGCACAAACCTCCCAGGACCTATAAAACAAACAAACAAACAAAACCCAAGGTATATAGACAACAAATAGCACAATGAATGGAATAGTAACTCACATCTCAATACTAACATTGAATGTAAGTGGCCTAAATGCTCCACTTAAAAGATACAGAATTGCAGAATGGATAAGAATTCACCAACCAAGTATCTGCTGCCTTCAAGGGACTCACCTATCACACATAAACTTAAGGTAAAGGGGTGGAAAAAGACATTCCATGCAAATGGACACCAAAAGCAAGCAGGAGCTATTCTTATATCAGACAAAACAAACTTTAAAGCAACAGCAGTTAAAAAAGACAAAGAGGGACATTATATAATGATAAAAGGCCTTGTCCAATAGGAAAGTATCACAATCCTAAACACATATGCACCTAACACTGGAGCTCCAAAATATATAAAACAATTACTACTAGACCTAGGAAATGAGATAGACAGCAACACAATAACAGTGGAAGACTTCAATATTCCACTGACAGCACTAGACAGGTTATCAAGAAGAAAGTCAACAAAGAAACAATGGATTTAAACTATACCCTGGAAAAAATGGACTTAACAGATATTTACAGAACATTCTACCCAAGAACCACAGAATATACATTCTGTTCATCAGTGCATGGAATTTTCTCCAGGATAGACCATATGATAGGCCATGAAACAAGTCTTAATAAATTTAAGAAAATTTAAATTATATCAAGTACTCTCTTAGACCACTGAGAGAGTGGAATAAAACTGGAAATCAACTCCAAAAGTAACCTTCAAAACAATACAAATACATGGAAATTAAATAACCTGCTCCTGAATGATTACTGGGTCAACAATGAAATCAAAATGAAAATTAAAAAACTATTCAAACTTAAATGATAATAGTGACACAACCTATCAAAACCTCTGGGATACAGCAAAGACAGTGCTAAGAGGAAAGTTCATAGCCTTAAATGCCTACATCATCAAAAAGTCTGAAAGAGCACAAACAGACAATCTAAGGTCACACCTCAAGGAACTAGAGAAACAAAAACAAACCAAGCCCAAACCCAGCAGAAGAAAGGAAATAACCAAGATCAGAGCAGAATTAAATGAAGTTGAAGTGAACAAAAAGCATGCAAAAGATAAACGAAATGAAAAGCTGGTTCTTTGAAAAGATAAGCAAAATTGATAGACCATTAGCAAGATTAACCAAGAAAAGAAGAGAGAAGACCCAAATAAGCTCAATTAGAAATGAAACAGTAGATTTTACAACCAACACCACAGAAATACAAAAGTTCATTCAAGGCTACTATGAACACCTTTATGCACATAAACTAGACAAACTCGAGGAGATGGATAAATTCCTGGAAAGGCACAACCCTCCTAGCTTAAATCAGAAAGCATTAGAAATCTTGAACAGACCAATAACAAGCAGTGAGATTGAAATAGTTATTAAAAAAATTGCCAACAAAAAAAAAGTCCAGGACCATATGGATTTACAGCTGAATTCTACCACATTCAAAGAATAATTGGTTACCAATCCTATTGACACTATTCTACAAGATAGAAAAAGAGGGAATCCTCCCTAAATCATTCTATAAAACCAGTATCACTCTAATACCAAAATCAGGAAAGGACATAACAAAAAAAGAAAACTACAGACCAATATCCCTAATGAACATAGAAGCAAAAATCCTTAACAAAATACAAGCTAACCGAATCCAACAGCATATCAAAAAGATAATGCACCATGATCAAGTGGGTTTCATACCAAGGATCAAAGGACGGTTTAACATATGTAACTCAATAAATGTGATACACCACATAAACAGAATTAAAAATAAAAATCACATGATCATCTCAATAGATGGAGAAAAAGCATTTGACAAAATCCTTTATGAGTAAAATCCTCAGCAAAATCAGCACACAGGGGACATATTTCATGTAATAAAAGCCATCTATGACAAAACCACAGCCAGCATAATACTGAATGGGGAAAAGTTGAAAGCATTCCCTCTGAGAAGTGGAACAGGACGAGGATGCCCACTCTCACCATTTCTATTCAACATAGTACTAGAAGTGCTAGCCAGAGCAATCAGACAAGAGAAAGAAATAAAGGGCAACGAAATTGGTAAAGAGGAAGTTAAACTGTTACTGTTTGCTGATGATATGATTGTATACCTAGAAAACCCTAAAGATTCCTCCAAAAAGCTCCTAAAACTGATAAATGAATACAGCAAAGTTTCAGGATACAAAATTAATATACACGAATCAGTAGCTCTGCTATACAGCAACAGTGACCAAGCTGAGAATCATATCAAGAACTCAACCCCTTTTATAATAGCTGCAAAAATAAAAAATAAAATACTTAGGAATATACCTAACTAAGGAGGTATATTGCCCTATACAAGGAAAGCTACAAAGTACTGCTGAAAGAAGTCATGGATGACACAAACAAAAGGAAACACATCCCATGCTCATGGATGGATAGAATCAATATTGTGAAAATGATCATACTGCCAAAAGCAATCTACAAATTCAATGCAATTCCCATCAAAATATCACCATCATTCTTCACAGAACTATAAAAAAAAATCCTAAAATTCATATGGAACCAAAAAAAGCCTGCACAGCCAAAGCAAGACTTGGCAAAAAGAACAAATCTGAAGGCATCACATTATCTGATTTCAAACTATACTATCAAACCATAGTTACCAAAACAACATGGTACTAGTATAAAAGTAGGCACATAGACCAATGGAACAGAATAGAGAACCCAGAAATAAACCCAAATATTTACAGGCAACTGATCTTGGACAAAGAAAACAAAAACATAAAGTGGGGAAAGGACACCCTATTCAACAAGTGGTGCTGGGATAATTGTCAAGCCACATGTAGAAGAATAAAACTGGATCTTCATTTCTCACCTTATACAAAAATCAACTCAAGATGGATCAAGGGCTTAAATCTAAGACCTGAAACTATAAAAATTCTAGAAGATAACATCAGAAAAACTCTTCTAGACATTGGCTTGGCAAAGATTTTGTGGCCAAGAACCCAAAAGCAAATGCAACAGAAACGAAAATAAATGGGGCTTAATTAAACTGAAGAGCTTTTGCACAGCAAAAGGAACAGTCAGCAGAATAAACAAACAATCCACAGAATGGGAGAAAATCTTCACAATCTATACATCAGACAAAGTACTAATATCCAGAATCTACAAAACTCAAACAAATTAGCAAGAAAAAAACAAACAATCCCATCAAAAAGCAGGCTAAGGACATGAGTAGACAGTTCTCAAAAGAAGATATACAAATGGCCAAGAAACACATGAAAAAATGCTGAATATCACTAATGATCAGGGAAAAGCAAATTGAAACCACAATGCAATACCACCTTACTCCCACAAAAATGGCCATAATCAAGTAATCAAAAAATAATAGACATTGGCATGGATGCGGTGGAAAGGGAACACTTCTACACTGCTGGTGGGAATATAAACTAGTACAGCCACTATGGAAAACATTGTGGAGATTCCTTAAAGAACTAAAAGTAGATCTACCATTTGATCCAGCAATCCCACTACTAGGTATCTACCCAGCAGAAAAGAAGTCATTATATGAAAAAGACACTTGCACGTGCATGTCTATAGCAGCACAATTCACAATTACGATAATGTGGAACCAAGGACACATACAGTGGCTCATGCCTGTAATCCCAGCACTATGGGTAGCCGAGACAGGTGGATCACCTGAGGTCAGGAGTTTGAGACCAGCCTGGCCAACATGGTGAAACCCTGTCTCTATTAAAAATACAAAAATTAGCTGGGCATGGTGGCAGGCGCCTGTAGTCCCAGCTACATGGGAGGCTGAGGCAGGAGAATCTCTTGAACCTGGGAGGTGGAGGTTGCAGTGAACCAAGATGGTGCCACTGCACTCCAGCCTTGGTGACAAAGCAAGACTCCATCTCAAAAAAAAAAGAAAAAGTGGAACCAGCCCAAATGCCCATCAATCAACAAGTGGATAAAAAGCTGTGGTGTATATATATATGATGGAATACTACTCAGCTATAAAAAGGAATGAATTAGTGGCATTTGCAGCAACCTGGATGGGACTAGAGACTATTATTCTAAGTGAAGTAACTCAGGAATGGAAAACCAAACATTGTATGTTCTCACTCATAAGTGGGAGATAAGCTATGAGGTTGCAAAGGCCTAAGAATGATACAATGGACTTCGGGGACTCAGCAGGAAAGGGTAGGAAGGCAGTGAGGGATAAAAGACTACAAATTGGGTTCAGTGTATATTGCTAGAGTGATGGGTGCATCAAATCACCATTAAGGATCTTACTCATGTAACTAAATACCACCTGTTCCCCAAAAACCTGTGGAAATGAACAATTTTAAAAAGTCTTTTTAAATCCTTTGATAATATATATGTATCCCTCCCTCACCCCCCCCCCCAAAAAAAAAGAATGAGATCCTATCATTTGCAATAACATAGATGAAACTGGAGGTCATTATGTTACGTGAAATAAGTCAGGCACAGAAAGACGAATTTCACATGTTCTCACTTATTTGTAGGAGCTAAAAACAGATAGAGAGTAGAAAGATGGTTACTAAGAGGCTGGAGAAGGGTAGTAGGGAAGTGGGATGAAAGTGCAGATGACTAATGGGTTTGAAAAAAATCTAACTAATAAATAAGATCCAGTATTTGATAGCACAACAGAGTGATTATAGTCAATAATAATTTAATTTTGCATATTAAAATAACTAAAAGAGTATGGACTGTTTGCAACACAAAGGATAAATGTTGGAGGTAATGGAGTCTCTATTTCCCATGACATGATTATTACGCATTGCATATGTATATCAAAATATCTCATGTACTCTATAAATATATATACCTACTATGTACCCACAAAAATTAAAAATTAAATTTGTTTTAAAAAGGGAAGCCAGATAAGACAGAGATGCCGTTGGAGAGATATGTGATGCAGAATACAGAGAATGAACAAATGGAAGTGAAGCAATACTTAAGACCACAAATAAAGAAATCAATTATAAGCCGAAGATACCTTTTAATCTGCAGATCAAAATAGCTTTCTAGATAGCAGGAAAATAATAAATGAAAAATCTGCACCTAGGCATATCCCGATGGAAGTCTGAATTTCAAGGTAAAAGAAAGACTCCTGTAAAAAGCCAGGCAGAAAAAAATTTCTTTTACCTGCAAAGGAAGGAAAATAATTTTGTCTCACACTTCTTCCTTCCTTTATTAGATCCCTGAATCCAACGGAGCTGCATCTACAGAATGAAAAAGGTAAAGGGGCAGAAGAGCACATCACCTCACGGACATCACGGGGTCTAGAGGTGGTGGCTGTGCACGTGTTTGGAAAAAGAGTGATGCTTCCTTTCTTGATGGAATCATTGCATTCTTAAATTTCCTGATAGTCATTGCCACTTAAATTTCTAAGTAAAAAGTTAGAAGATGGAGATATGTGACCACTTGCTAGAAAATCCAAATGATTTCTTCTAGCTATTAGGCGGTCCATTACACCTACAGGGCAAGAATGAGTGACTGGAAATTAACAAACACCCTGTCAGGACACCACTAAAACCCTTTACCTTAGAGGGGTTTCACCAAACCAAGTCCAGAACAGTGGCGATAACACCATGGACTTGAAAGATGTGAGCGGGAGTGCTTGTCCAATTTCTGAGCCAGTCTCTCTCACCTGCCATTTCATTATAAGTCAATATTGAGCAAGGATAGAAGTTAATTTAGATCAAGAGTCTATCATGGGGTCCACAGGCCTTCATGTAGACATCACAGGGCTTTGAGCAGTTTGTCTATGAAGTTATATGCAAATGTTATCATGTGACCATTAATTAAGTTCTCAACGGGGTCTATAATCCAGAAAAGACCCAGAACCAATATTTACTGCTTTATAAACACCCAAACTGAGAACATATTACAGAAAAAAAATTATTCAGGTCACTCGCTAAAGAACAATAAGGAATCGTCTATTCAAGGGAGGTGCTATACAATGGAGTTTTGTAGTAGTGACGAGATATATGGCTCAGATCAGAATATGACACGGAAAAGTGGGAATTTATAGCCAAGGAGCTGAGTGCAGGTCAGTAGGTAGAAAATTACTAAGAGGAAACATCAGAGGCAAGGGAACATTCTGACTGAAACCAATCTAACAGGAATCTTGCTAAAGGCAGGACGAGATGATTAGATATCACCTGGGAGATGGTGGAGGATGAGGAACCCAGTCAGGTATCATGGGTCATCACCTATTGAGAATAGAGGATCCTTGATAAACTGACAACAGAATTCTTGCTAAAATTGGACAATGCAGAGATGAACACGGAAGTCCAAAAGTCAGGGCCTGGTGGAGAAGAGAGTTCGAAGGAGTCTGACTAAATTTTGATCAAGGCAAGGCTCCGTTAAACATAAATGAAACCACAGTAAAATGCAAAAGACTAGCTTATGCATAATCGGTGGAAATGTATTCTGATAATAATAGCAAGACATTGTAAGGGATTTCTCATGTATATGTTCAACAAAATTCAAAGGAAGTTGGTATTTATAAAACTAGAGCAAGTGCCCACAAAAAAGAAACATCCTGAAATAAGAAGGAGATTGTATGGAAAACACAACAGCAGAATTATAAATCTTGTCAAAGGCAACAGACAGCAGATTGACAACCACAGAAAACAAAATTAACACATAAGAATATAAGCCAGGCATGGTGGCTTCCACTTGTAATCTCAGCACTTTGGGAGGCCAAGGCAGGAGGATTGCTTAAGCCCAGGAGTTTGAGACTAGCCTGGGCAACACAGGAGTTTGAGACCAGCCGGGCAACATAGGGTGACCCAGTCCCTACAGGAAAATTAAAAATTAACCAGGTGTGGTGGTACACACCTGTAGTCCTAGCTACTTGGGAGGCTAAGGTGGGAACATCACTTGAGCCCAAGTGATTGAGGCTGCAGTGAGCTATTTTCATGTCACTGCACTCCAGCTAGGTGACAGAGAGAGATTCTGTCTCAGGAAAAAAAAGGGGGGGAGAAAAAAGAAAAATATGAGAGAGGATCCAAGAATTCCAGTGCTACAGACTGAATGTTTGTGTCTCCCCAAATTCATTTATGGAACCCTAACCCCCGAGGTGATGGCATTATGAGGTGGAGCCTTTGGTATGTGAGTAAGTCATGAAGGCAGCACCATCATAGGATTAGTGTATGAAATAAGACCCAGAAAGACCTCTTCCCCCTTCCACCACATGAGGACACAGGGAGAAGAATTTTTTTTTAGACGGAGTTTCACTCTTGTTACCCAGGCTGGAGTGCTGTGGCACAATCTCCGCTCACTGCAACCTCCTCCTCCTGGGTTCAAGCGATTCTCCCGGCTCAGCCTCCCGAATAGCTGGGATTACAGGCATGCGCCACCACGCCCTGCTGATTTTGTATTTTTAGTAGAGACAGGGTTTCTCCATGTTGGTCAGGCTGGTCTCGATCTCCCGACCTCAGGTGATCTTCCCGCCTGGGCCTCCCAAAGTGCTGGGATTACAGGCGTGAGCCACCGCACCCTGGCAGGAGAAGAAATTTATGAACAAGGAAACAGCCCCTCACCAGATATCCAAACTATGGGCACCTTGATCTTGGACTTCCAGTATCCATAAATACTGGAATAAGAAAGAGATTGTACGGAAAACACAAGTATATTTCTGTTGTTTATAAGCCACCCAGTTTATGGCATTTTGTTGTAGCAGCCCAAACAGACTAAGATATCCAATCAACAAGTTCTAAGGATCCAAGAAAGAAAAAATAGAATGAATGTGATGAAAGCAATATTCAAATAAACAATAGAGGGAAATTGCTGAGCTTATAAAATTAAAGGTTATCAGGCAGAATTAATGAAGAGATATTAGCACCTGACATATCCTGTTGAATGTTTCAAGATTTAAGGAAAACAAAAAAAAAATTCTATAAATGTCCAGATAGGAAAACACAGTTTATGTCTTAAGCAGTATTCCATGGCTTTGACTACACATTAAAATCATTGGTTGAGCCTTTAAAAAATAATGGGTCTGGCCAGGCATGGTGGCTCACGCCTGTAATCCCAGCACTTTGGGAGGCTGAGGTGGGTGGATCACAAGGTCAGGAGTTTGAGACCAGCCTGGCCAACATGCTGAAACCCCATGTCTACTTAAAATACAAAAGTTAGCTGGGTGTGGTGGCGCACACCTGTAACCTCAGCTACTCTGGAGGCTGAGGCAGGAGAATTACTTAAACCAGGGAGCGGAAGTTCCAGTGAGCCGAGATCGCACCACTGCACCCCAGCCTGGGCGACAGCAAGACTCTGTCTTGAAAAATAATAATAAATAAAAAATTTAATTTAATTTAAATTTAAAAAATAACGTGTCTGGACCCCATCCTTAGATATTCTGATTTAATTATCCTGGGAAGGAGCTTGGGCACTGAGATTTCTAAAAAATCTCCCCCAGTGGTTTGAATGTGCAGCCAGAATTGAGAACCACTAACCTAAATGAAGAGTAACTATAGATCTATCCCCCAGATAACTAAATAGCAGCAGTAAACTGGCTTCCACACTGGGAAGGAAAAGAATTTAGAATTATATACTCAGTTAGACACGGTGACACACACTTGAGTCTCAGATACTCAGGAGGCTGGGGCAGGAGGGTGGCTTGAGCTCAGGGGTTCAAGGCTGTAGTAGTACACAATGACCGTGCCAGTGAGTGGCCACTGCACTCCAGCCTGGACAACATAGAGAGACTCTATGTCTTAAGAAAAAAAAAAGAGAGAGAGAGAGAGAGAAATTATGTTCTTAGTCAAAAGGTTGTTTGTAGGAAAGACCAACATTCTTCTTTAAACCAGTGCTCAGAAAGTATCATCCTCACAGTTTAGTGATACAATCCAGCCTACCTAGGGAAAGATCAAGATAAAGAACTCAAGAATTAGGACATCATACCATAAAGAGATACTAGGAAGAAATGGAAACTAGTTAAACCTACAATAAAGTCTTAAGAACTGTCGTGAATCTAAGCACAAAACAAAATAAATTTCAAAAATAAGTCTTGAAGAAAAGTTAATAATGTAAAACAACAATAATAAGTTAGGTCTATATCCCAGATTACTTCAATCAAAATTGTGAAGTGGGATGAGACAGTCCGGACAATAAAAGCCTGCAAGGTTTCTCATTACACACAGACAGTAGTTAATAGATACAGTTACGTTATTGGCTTTGATAAACAGAGATAAAATTATTTCAAAATGCTTTTAATAACAAAAAGATAATCGCTGAAAGAAAATATGTAATTATATTTTCCAAACTACTACAGAAATAAGAGCTGAGAAAATATAGTTAATGGGAAAACAACCAGATATCAAAACCATCATGCAATATTATCCTGTTCTATTATATGTATGCATAATATGTATAGAAAAATTAAAAAATGAAACACTCCCAAATTGTAACAGTGCGTCTCTAACAGGTTAGAATTATCAGGTTTGTGGTTTGTTTTCTTATTAATGTGTTTCAATTTTTTCTAAATATCCTACAATCAGAATGCTCTTTTTATAATTTAAAAAAAATCAATAAATATTACATTTTTAAGTTATCCCCTTTATCTTCTATGCATTTTCATAGTGCTTATTTGATACAAAGAATAAAAGTCGAGTTTCTTAATGTGCTAATCTTAGCAATTATAGGATTTTTTAAAGTCCAATCTGACATAATTTTAGAGACTAAACACCTACGAATACTATAAAGGTGTTTCTATTAATATTTTTAATAAGTCACTTCCTGGAAGTAACATGTTCATGTAAAATCTTGCCAAAAACAAGAATATTAAAGTATGTTCTGCATGAAGAAGAAATCTACATCACAAGTACATTAGAAGCACTTTTTAGGAAGTAGAAAATATGAAACCAGAAAAACTCGGTAAAATGTGCTTGCAACTATAAATTCTGTAATTAGTTTGCTCTACAAGGAAGATACTAGGAGACACCAGTTGGAGATACTAGTTGACATCCTCGATTTGCTTTTTATTCAGTCAAAACATAAAAGCATGCATTACTCATGGCCAGATTATAGTCTAAAAGTATTTTCATCTAACTATCCAATTTTGAGTGAAAAAAAGAAACCAACACAAAATCATGTTGTCCTTTAATTTCACTTTAGGCATTCCTTCCTTTTGCCCCAGCACAAAATTCAGGATTGTGTTTATTCCGTGAGGGTACTAATGGAGTCACATTAATGATCCAAACCCAAATTCTATGGGCCCTCACTCACCCCGCCTGCATCTGCAGGACCTCAGTTGCCTGTGCCCCTCATGTAGGTCGAGTTGGCCTTGGAGAGGTGTGGTATGTGCTCATGAAGCGCTCTCCCTCTGCTTGTGCTACTCCTGTTGTGTCATTATCCACTGGACCGCCACTGCAGGCTGCCGTATCTGTGGGTCCCACTGTCTCCGTGATAGCAGAGGCAACAAAGCCATTTATGTCAAGAGCTAAAAGTTGCAAGATGTTGTACTGGGAAGTGGGCGAGAATGCTTCGTTCCTCTCTTGCCATTGTACAGCCAGCCAGTTCTGCTTCAGCACGGCAAATGAAGCTGCTCTTGGTTTTTCTTTCTGATAGCCCTGAGCTTTCTCTCTCTCTCTGTGGTATCAAAGATCATTCCAGTGGGATTTGGGCTTGGAGTTAAATCTAAGTGATTTAACAGCCACATGCTAAACTCGGAACTGTCCCTCCCCTCCAAAGTCTAAAGTTTCTTATTGCCGACTCTTTTTTTCCCTTACAGTGAGGTCTCTCCCACAACACCTCTCAGCCCATCTCCAAGTTGTTTTCTGGTAGGTTCTGTCTACTTAGACTCAAACTGGAGCTTCTGTTGAACTCATATTGTCCAAAGAGACCAAATTCTCCAAACAAAGGAATGTTTAATAAGCTTTGCATTGAATCAAGATTACTTTAATGTGTTTGCTGTAAGTAAATATAAATCTGTTCTTTTAAAAATAACACATTATTAAGCCACTGATTCAATCATCAGCAGGCTCAAGAGGTTAAGTGGAATCAGCTAAGGCAATTGATAGCACCATAGATCTCTTTTATATGAGAGTAATTCAGGAGAAGTTCTCATTAAGCATCAAGGAGAAAAAGTTATTATTGCCGGGTGTGGTGGTTCTCGCCCGTAATCCCAGCACTTTGAGAGGCCGAGGCAGGTGGATCACCTGAGGTGGGGAGTTCGAGATCAGCCTGACCAACATGGAGAAACCCCGTCTCTACTAAAAATATAAAAACTTAGCCGGGCATGGTGATGCATGCCTGTAATCCCAGCTACTCGGGAGGCTGAGGCAGGAGAATCGCTTGAACTTGGGAGGCAGAAGTTGCAGTGAGCCAAGATTGTGCCGTTGCACTCCAGCCTGGGCAACAAGAGAGAAACTCTGTCTCAAAAAAAAAAAAAAGAAAGAAAAAGTTATTACTGAGGAACAAGTTTGAAAACTGTTCCAGAAAGATGCTCAGTTGGAGAGAATTTGTAAAAATAACAATCACACCATTTGAAGTAAAAGTTGTTTCCTTCTAGAAAAGTTTTGCTTCAGAAGGAGAGCCCATTCAGGAAATAAAAGCATTGGCTACCATGGAACTTTAGGGATGGGCAAGCCACAGATATTCAAGACCTTGTGAGGCTGCAGGATCCTGTCAATCTTTAAGTGATGATGCAGTGTGAATATCTTAGTATGGAAAGACTATGGGGAATTTGATTAATAGAAGACAACTGAAAAACGCTGTGGTTAAGAGAGAACAGTGCTATTTTTCTTAAATCCACATACTTCACAATGTTTCTTTTGTTTGTGTAGGCATTTGTTAACCAACAGCTTCCTTTACCATTTCCAGGGGGTTTTCTAGTTTGGTTTGTTCTCTGTGTTGGTACTCATATATTTATATTGATAACAACCAGTAACTAGCCACATTACTAAAGTACATTTTAAGCCCAGCATGACTTTATTCCCTACTGTGGTAGGCTTGCAGCAGTGGACCAGGTAGCAATCTTCTCCAAAATGGCAGCCAACAGAGAGTGGAGCAGAGCCCAGAGAACAAACCATGAACAAGCCCCTTGGAATGGTGACAAGAATATTTTATTAAAGTTATCCTAGGATAGAAATCCCTAGGATATAAACTCTCAAAAATATAAGCCCTTTGTAAGCTATTATGGTTAAATACCAAGGAAAATATAACTTTAAGATTATAACAACTCATTCAAATACTTACTAATGCCTATTATTTTCTGGGCACTTGGCTAGACCCTGGAAATGTGGTAAGGCATGAGATACTTTCCGGGGTTTGGGAGAGCTTATAACTAGTGGGGGCTCATGATGTGCTTCAAAGAGAGTGGCCTCTTTCCTTCCTCCAGCACACCAAGCTGAGCCCTTCCCTGGAGATTTACCCAAACACATCATCCACTGCTCTGTGAGTAGCTTTCCTCTCGTTGCGTTTTTCAACTCCACTCAAATATCATCTCCTTCGGAGGGGCCTTCCTTGATTCCCACCTACCCATATGCTCGTGGCACTCTCTAAACAACATTTCACTTCAACCTCTTTTTGTCCTTCAAAAATGTGTACAGGTTGCATATCCCTTATTCAGAATGCTGGGGACCAGAAAGGTCTAGGATTTCAGATTTTGTCAGATCTTGGAATATTTGCACTATACCAGTTAAGCATCCCCCGAATCCAAAAGCCAAAATGAGCTTCAATGAGCACTTCCCTTGAGTGTCATGCCAGTGCTCAGAAAGTTTCAGATTTCAGATTTCCCTGTCATGGAACTTCAGGGATGGGCAAGCCACAGATATTCAAGACCTTGAATTTTGTGAACATTTCCGATTTCAGACTTTTGAATCACATTTTTATTGGAATATACATTGTTCATGTGTTTATTATTTGTCTCCTCCCACTAGAATGCAAACTGCATGATGGCAGGACATTTTGTCTGGCTTGCTTACATATATGTGTACCTAGCATCAAGAAAAGCATGCAGGAAGCAACCATGAAGGCTTTGAATGAAAAAATGATGGAAGTTGGATGAATGAATGCAGTAATTAGTGCATTACAATCTAATATGATTATTGCTGTGGTAGCAGAAATATCTGGGCAGCACAGATCTAGGTACTTCATTGTATCTAACAAACAAGGGAGGGGACAAGGAATATTCTAGAGGATACAAAAACATGGACTTAGAAGAGGAGCCATTTTAGGAACTTCACAGGTAGGGAACTGGGGGAAGATGAATGAGAATGGGGGAAGAAGAATGAGAAATGGGCAGATAGCAGAGACCCACCCTGAAGGGATTAGTGAGCCCTGTTAGGGAATTCAGACTTTATTCAAAGGGCAACAGATAGACCTTGAACAATGGCAGGTGTTGGGGGCAGGTTGGGAAGGGAACAGGGAGTGAGGACAAATCTGTTGTAGAATGCTCACCCCAGAAGCACTGTGGAGAATGGAATGGAAGAGACCTGTGAGTCAAGTCAGTAATTCAGGCAAGAATTGATAAGAAATTGAACTAAAGCCAAGGTTATGGGATCAGAATGGAGGGTATGGACTGGGGAGATTATCTGGAGGGAAAATCAATAGCAGAGGGAGGAGTCAGGTTCAATTCTTCAGGCAGCTGCCGTTCCTCAGCCAAGTTCTCCATTTTCCATAGGCACTCCCCAGGGCCGCAGCTATGTTTTCTGGAGGCCATACTGAGGCTAGGGGTGCACTTCCCAGATCACCCTGATCGCCACATGCTCCAGGAAGATAGCCTTGCAGGTCAACCACTGCTGTTCGAGGCAGAAAACATGGTCTCTTGTGTTTTGGGCCACTTGTCAGCTCTAGCCCAGGGCACTTATATTCTGATATATATGGTAGGGTAGGATTTCAAAAGCTTTTCTCCTCTTTCTGATCAAAATCTCTTTTAGATAAGGATATCTGTCCACATCTACACTTATCTAAAAGCATTTGGCAAAGCCCAAATATGTGCTGGGCTCTGGGGGAAAGAACCCTGGCCCTCAAACATTCTGTGATTTACTGAAGGAGACAAACAAAAAGACAATTAGAATGCACTGAGGATAGTATTGCAATGGAAGCACTCAAACAAAAAGTAGAAAGCGAATACCCCTAATCTAAAGATGAGTTTGGAAAGAGGGTTACGGGTCTTGGATCAGTAAGAGATAAGAACACTTCCTCAAAGAGAAAAGCAACTCCT
Source organism: Homo sapiens (assembly GCF_000001405.40). Lineage (NCBI taxonomy): Eukaryota > Metazoa > Chordata > Mammalia > Primates > Hominidae > Homo > Homo sapiens. The sequence continues at coordinate 171,936,096 of NC_000003.12, forward strand.
AACTAAAAGACAATAAACGAACCTTAAAAAAATAATGTCAGCTCAGGTATAAATAAATGCAAGTGCATTAAAAGCAGCCACAGTTAATAGGTAATGTTTATCGAGTGCATGAAACGTGCCAGAAGTTATGGGTCTTGTATGTTTTTTTCTCATTTCATCCTCATACCAACCTTATGAGGTAGTACCACTTTTCGAGTTTTACAGACGAGAAAGCTGAGGCTCAGCAAGGTTGCATACTTTACCCCAGGTCACCCAATAGTAGTAGAGCAGGGAATCACACCTGGGCAGTCTGAGTACAGAGTTCCTAACTGGAATGTGGCCCTGTCCTTCACAGTTAGTGCCATTTGTCTACCCATCCATTGTCCCTGGTCTCATACAGTACAGAATAGGAATTCAATTCAGAGTTGCCTGAGCCCAGGGCTTCTGCACTTTCACACAGCTAAGTCTTCAGGCTGGATGTATACTCACCATGGAGAAAAAGAATGAGGAAATACTCTCATAGAAAATGCACTTTGCCTTCATTTTCAGCTTTGTCTCAACTCTCTAAGGGATGGGCCAATTCCCACTTCCTGCCTAAGTGCCTCAGTTTCACAAGGGAGTTTGTCAGAGGTTATTAGGCGTAGGCAGGGGAAGGCAGCCTGGGGAGGCTGACTCATCTCCGTACACCACTAAGCATCTTGCCCAGTGGATACTGAGGAAGCTGGTGTCACCCAATGGGCAGTCTTCTCAAGGAATCTTTGCCTGTAAATGCTATAAGATCAAATACATACTTTTCTTCAAAAACAGTTATTTGAAAGTTGAATTGTTATATTGTTTATGAAAGACTGGAAGATTTGGGAGGCCGAGGTGGGTGGATCACTTGAGGTCAGGAGTTCAAGACCAGCCTGGCCAAGATGGTGAAACCCCATCTCTACTAAAAATACAAAAATTAGCCGGGCGTGGGATTAGCAGGCACCTGTAATCCCAGGTACTCGGGAGTCTGAGGCAGAAGAGTCGCTTGCACCCGGGGGGCAGAGGTTGCAGTGAGCCGAGATTGCACTTCAGCCTGGGCGACAGAATGAGACTCCATCTCAAAAAAGAAAAAAAGACTGGAGGATTAGCCAGTATTTATGTTGAGATTTTTCAATATTTAGCTATCAGCCTCCCAAGGACCTGCTAATCTCAGTAATGGAAGTCATGTTACCATTGATGGTCATATTTCACAAACTCCTTCTTGCATAAGTGCAAGACCTAGGTCTTTTCCCCACCTCAAAGGTGCCTGCATTATTTTTATGGGAGTCTGGGATGTCTCACATAGTCTCCTGACAATCCTTTTCCTCTGAGGCCTCCAGAATTCAGAACCATGGCTTCTGTTCCCCTGGGTGAGAGCAGCTTTCATGTCCCTTCCTGCCACTTCCCTCAAAGGCACAAATGAGCTGTGTTTCCTTCAAGCCTCCCTCTGTCAGAAACCTGGCTCTTTCCCATCTCCACATCTCTCCCTTACACCTCGCCATCAGGGAGGGCCCTGAACCAGCACTGCTTGTGTCATGAGTCTCAGGAAGTTGTTTGAAAAAAAGACACCTTCAGGGTTACATCCAGCCCTCTCTCTCTCCATGGAACTCAGACTTGGAAGAGATTCCAGGATTCCTTCCCCATCCCCCTCCAATCTCCCTCCCAGGCACCTGCACCCACAAGTACACACTCCTTCGCTCTCAGGCTTATTAACTCATCCAAGGTGGAGTTTCTCTCAAAGTGGGGACCCAGTTTGGGCCCACGTGATACCTTCTTTAATAAACATGGTCAAGTTAAAATTATTAAGGAGATACTAGAGTATCTCTAGTAGGGTAAGGCTGTCACATGATGAGAAAATAAAGGGATATAACATCAAGAAAATTACCTCATTTGCAAATTTACTGTTTGCTTTTTCTTTTCTTTCTTTTTTCGTACTTAAAAAAAAATGAAGTCCAAGAAAGACACTTTCTCTCACCTTTTTGGAGCCTCTAGCCTGCCCTGGGAAGCCTGGTGGACTGGTGCTGAGAAGAGACCACGGCCCAGGTAGTTATGCAGCCTGCATGGTTGATGGTAGAAGACCCAGGTGGGGAACAGAAAGACAGGAGTTTGTCACTCACCCTGCAGCTTGAACAAGACACTGAATCTCTGAGCCTTATATTTTGTCTTTATGTTAAAATAGGAATAATTATATCATCCTGATGGGTTGTTTGGGGTCAAAGTAATTATCTATATTTTTGTAAATTGCAAGTTGTTATACTGTTGCTTGCAAAGAAGAACTACAACAGAAGTTTAGTCAGAGGTAAAAATGGAGTAAAGGGAAGGAGCAGGAGGTCGAGAAAAAGAGAGTGGTCTCTTAAGATTGTGAGACATATCAGAAGGTGGCAGGCCTGGGAAGGGAGTCAGTTCAGTGTAGGCCAGAGGAGGTAACCCAGGAGAGAGGAAGAAGCCCCAGCAGACAAGACAAGAAGAGGAGATTAAAGTGATATGAAAGGTGCTAAAGACATCCTCTACTTGGATTGAGTTTTGTTTTTGTTTTTTGTTTTTTGTTTTTGTTTTAGTTGGAGTCCCACTCTGTCGCCCAGGCTGGAGTGCAGTGGCACGATCTCAGCTCACTGCAACCTCCACCTCCCGGGTTCAAGTGATTCTCCTGCCTCAACCACCTGATTAGGCTGGGATTACAGGCGCAATCACCACAGTTGGCTAATTTTTGTATTTTTAGTAGAGACAGGGTTTCACCATGTTGGCCAGGGTGGTCTCGAATGCCTGACCTCAGGTGATCCGCCCACCTCGGCCTCCCAAAGTGCCGGGATTACAGGCTTGAACCATGGCACTCGGCCTGGATTGAGATTTTCTTAATAGTCCTAGATGCTCTTTGAAATGTTCCACTGCTATCTCTGGCATGATATTATAGGTGTTCCTGCCTGGCACACTGCAGAAACCTGAGGTTGGGAGGCTTGTTAGCTGAAACATGTATTGATCTTATATGTATGAATCATTTCCAGTCGGACTCACTAGCCTGAGATTCCCTGGGGTGTGTGTGCACATGCAAGCACACTTACATGTGCAAGACTCAACCCCAAGTCTGAATTACACACGAGTGACAAAGGGAATGCGTCTCCAATTCACCTCTAACTGCTAAGCTCTCTCTCTCCTGTTCTCTTTTTATGCAGCACCCATGGACCCTTCTAGCAGACAGCAACTTTTCTCTTTGACTATAAATTGAAGGCAATTCAATGTTTTACCCCTCAGATCAGGGATCATACTGAAAAATTCCTTCTGCACGAGCCAGTGTGAGCCTGGCAAGAGGCACAGGAGATGGTCACCAAGCTTGATAACGAAAATAAATTGTTTTGAAGAGATCGTTAAAATTATGTTAGTAGGAATTGAATATTCAAGGTTACAGATTTAATTAATTATGAGTGTTTCTTTAGAATAATGTAATAAATGTTTCCTCTGAGGTTTCTGGTTGAAGCACTGGGCCTCATCTCAAGAAAGATTTAAGAGCATAAAGTATTTTAATTGTATAGATTGCAAGAGAGGGCATTTAAAATATGCAGAGTAATTGACACCTTCTCAAACCCCAGATGCAACCCTATTTCTAACTGATAAGGTGATATCCTGGAGCCTCCATACAAGAAGTAGTTTTGCCCAACAAATGGGAGAAGCCCCTTTGACAGCGTGAAATTCCAGTCACGGTGATGTAGCTCTAAGGAATCCCAGGTGAGCCCATTCTCTCACAGCCTGAAAGCAGAACATGCAGCAATGAAAATGTCCAATGCAGCTAGGACTTTTGTCACTCCATCTTTCTCTTTCTGCCTCATCTGAAGGGTAAATGACTTTGTGTTGTGTAAAAACATTTCACACCCCCTGTAAGAAGTGGGAATAAGGAGGCATGGGTAGCAGCAGTGAAGAGGTTTGAATGTCATTCTTTCTCATTTGAATAACTACCTTAAGAGTCCCCTTCTGTAGGAGTTAAGACCTCAAGTTTTATACAAAAGAGCCTTGGTCTGCATGCGATGTCCTCCCAGGCTTAGTTCACATTTTAAGAAAACTTCAGGGTGAGTGTAATTCTTACTATAAAGGAATGAACCAATACTAGTTGAATCTTAGGCACCCGAACAGGCAGTTTGAGAAAGTTGGGTATGATTTCCCTGGCTCCTTTCAAGTCACACCACAAGCAACTGCCTGGCACACAAGACAGACCTCTGTGCATACAGATGCATGTGTGGTGTGTAGTGGGAAGTTTGCTTTGGCTGGTCGTGGAGGGATCCATTTGTCTGGGGAGGTCTGGACAGCCAGTGGAGGCACTGCCTCCCTTGCCATCTTAGCAGCTTTAAGAGGGTGGAGTATTTTTCTTTGAGGCTAAGGTTGGCACAGATAACTTCCTCACCGAAATTTTCTGCCAGACTGAGTTTGGTGGGTTTTTTTTGGTTTGTTTTTTTGTTTTTTTGTTTTTTTTTCATTATTCCACCCACCCCTCACCCCACCCTCCAATCTTTGGTTGTTTCTGGCTTTTTGGCATCTGTTCCCTGGGTCGTATTTTTTCCTTCCTGATGCAGTGGATGCAAAGATACGCTTTCTCTTGGGTGAAATTTACAAGCACATTTTCCTCCTTGACAGAAACAAAGAGCCACAAAGATTTCCTAGGGAGAGAAAAAAGCTTCCAGATGCAGGGCTCCAAATGTGAGGGTTTTTTTCCCTTTGGCATTTTTTAAGCTTAATAATTACACTGGACATATTTATTCAGAAGAAGGCCCACAGTTTTCATCCTAACAGGGACTTCATTAAAATTTCCAAGTAACAAATACATCTTTTCTCTGATGCCTGGGTTCCATGCCATTTACCTCTATCTTAAAGAAGTTACCTCTGAGACCTTGAGTTTCAACTCTGACTAGAGATGCAAGGCGATAGGGAAAGGTCCTTTTTTCCTCTCTTTTTTCTTAGCCATGGTGCAGAATAATAAAAGAAAAGGAATTCCTAAACTCTTGAACTGTTAGCAAACTTCTTTTAATTATCTCTAGTTAAAGGGCAACTGAGAAGACAATTATAAATGTCAAGAAGATTGTTCAACAAACTTTTATAACCCACAGCACACTTTTATATTTTTAAAAGTGATTAAAGCGTTCTAATTGGTATCATTTTCTATTTCAGAATAGTACTTTCCAAGACTTAAAAAAATGCTTCAGTTTATAAGACCTGTAATCTAAAATTTTCACTAACCATAATCAGAATAATGTATGGGAAATACTTAGTTCATATATGGAAAATCATCCACATTTTAAAAAAAAGTTTTGAAGAAACTTTTTAAAAAGTTGTAGCTACTTATGTTTGATTAGAAAAACATTTCTCTTGTGTGTGTTGGTAAAACAGACTAAGTTCTAAGAAATCTTTATGGCTATATATCTTACATCTATTGATAAGCAAGCATGAAGATACTTAATTCAGGTAAAGGGCTTTAGCCCATTTTTATTCTAATGGGAATAATACTAATGTGTATATGAATCCATTTTTGCTGCAGTTGGGCTGGGGCCAGAATGATATTCTGTATTTCTAACGAGCTCCCAGGAGATGCCAATGTTGCCATCCTTGGACCACGCTGAGTAGCGAGAATGCAGAGGACAGCATGTCTACCTTTTCCTGAGCCTCCTTTCAAAGGATGAGATACGGGAATACTGGTATCACACAGCCCCGAGAATCCTGAGGTGGGAGCAGGGGAGGCTGAACCCTCTAGATGTACCCTGAGTATGTTTTTACAGTGGGTTCAAGTATTTTAATCTGCTGTTCAAAAAATACATGAATTCGTCCTCAGTTCAAAGCCATAGGCTAGCTACTGTATGATGTGACACAATTCTGTATAACATAAATACAGTAATCTCATTAAATTTAACATCTGTGCCCTAATCATCACCTCTTTAAGGACTAAAATATTCTCCAGTGTTGTTGCTTTCTCCCCACTGTTTGAGGGAAAAAAAGTAAACCTATAGAAAAGTTGAAAGAATTACATGACAACTTTAAACCCTTCCCCAGATTTACCAATTATTAACATGCTGCTGTGCTTTCTGTCTCTCTCCTTACCCATCTATGTGTGTATATATATGTGTGTATGATAAATATTTATTTAGTTTATTTTCATGTTTTTATCTGAATAATTTAAAAATAAATTGCAGCTCTCCATTGCTTTTTATCATGTTATCATTTGTTTCTGTTAACAAGTTCGGCTGCAAACTGAATTGCTGACTGAGAGTCATGTGTGTGTGCAGGAAACCAAGGTGGCTTGGAGTTTCCCAGACTTTTTAGGTTCACGTTTACAGAGGAGAAAGCAAATGGTGGAAACTCTTGTTTCTCTTTAAAAATCTTTGACAGTTCATCCTTATGTTCTACCCAGTTACCTCACTCCACACTGCCTTTATGATCCCACTAGTGACCACCAAAGAGAGGGAATCTAAGAGAGAAAGCAGAGAATAACTTATTCTGCTAAACCCAACACAAATGAAAGGTGAGTTTGTTTCTTTCTCTGAGAGTTCGTATTTGGCTAATGAATTTTTGGATCTATGCTAAAAAAAGACAAAATCTCAGTCTTATTCCAAAGTGATTAAAATGATGGCCTATGCAAATACACGGTGACATTATGAAAGGGACATGTTAATGATTATTTAATTTATATGTACCTGACGACACCTTTTTATTCCCAAAAGACCAGAAGCTAGCCCCATTAAAAGGTCTCTAAAAGATTATTTCTGAGAGTTTCCCAGAGAACTGGTACTTCACTTATTCACTTAATCAACCGTCATTTAAGTTACCGGCACACAGGATACAAAATGGACAAAATCCATCCTACTCTTATAGAGTGTATACTCCAGCACAGAAAAAGATCCTGTATAATTAATTGACATGATATTGGGAGATTATGATGATGGAAAAAGCCAGTGCCATATATAAAGAGAAGTGCTAATGAATTTTGCCTGGGGCTTGAGCTGGTGTAGTTGTGTGTATAGATATTATGTGTGGGGGATGTGTTGTGGGTACTGGGGGCTCCTCCAGGAACCAGGTCAGCTGTGAAGGTAACCACTTATGCCAGCAGTCTCTGTCAGAGGATAGGTGGTCAAATGAAAGAGTCTCAACATGTAATGTGAGAATCTTACTAAAATGCAGACTATGATTTAAAGGCCAGAGGAGCACCCTGAGAGTCTGTATTTCTAACTAGATCCCAGGTGACACTCAGGTTGCTTTTCCAGGGACAACACTGTGAGTAGCAGAGGTCTGGTAAAATAGGTGGGGATTTTACATCAGAGAGAAGGAAGGGTTTTTTTCTTTTGTTTTTGTTTTTGAGACGAAGTTTCACTCTTGTTGCCGAGGTTGGAGTGCAATGGCGCCATCTGGGCTCGCTGCAACCTCCGCCTCCTGGGTTCAAGCAATTCTCCAGCACTTTGAGAAGGGAGGTGTTTTAGGTTTTTTCGTTTGTTTGTTTGTTTGTTTGTTTTGAGACGGAGTTTCACTCTTTTTGCCCAGGCTGGAGTGCAATGGCACGATCTCCACTCACTGCAGCCTCCACCTCCTGGGTTCAAGTGATTCTCCTGCCTCAGCCTCCCAAGTAGTTAGGATTACAGGCATGTGCCACCACGCCTGGCTACTTTCGTGTTTTTAGTAGAGATGGGGTTTCTCCAGGTTTCTCCATGTTGGTCAGGCTGGTCTTAAACTCCCAACCTCAGGTGATCTGCTCGCCTCGGACTCCCAAAGTGCCGAGATTACAGGCGTGAGCCTCCGCGCCCAGCCTGAGAAGAGAGTTTTAATCCTGCCTCTACCTAGGATAGCTGGTGACCCTTGAGTAAATGACTGAACTTCAGCTTCCTTATCTGTAAAAATGGCCATCATGTTATGTACCTTACAGCTTGTAAAGATTGAATAAGAATGTAAATACATGGGTCGTGACCAAGTAGAAGTTCAATCAAAATTATTTCCTTTTCCCTCAATTTTGAATATACAATATATAATTGCTTTAGAAAACAGATTTTGTTCCAAAAAACAAAATTCACTTAGCCTGTATGAATCCATTCAAAGTCTCATGACCCTTTTTCAAAGTAAATATTCCTGATATGTATTTGTTTTTATAGCAAATTAAGACTTTAAGATTTCCCTGAGGCAAAAACAAAACAATGGCCAAGTCAGATAAGAATACAGGAAGTATTATGCCTAGTCCCATAACCTATCCACTAATCCACTCAACCTTCTCCTTAGTGAAGTGATGTAATTGATGGGAGAAACATGGGCAATTCTGGAACTTTCCAATATAGCCAAGGGAAAAGGACCTGCAATAATGTAGTTTCATAAACCTAAGAAGATTTCTTTAATGTACTTGGGAGAAGATAATCGGAAATAAGCAGTAAACACCTAAAACCACATTTGCATAAGGTTTTACTGTTTCATTTTCTCATATAGTATGTAATTTGAGCCTCAAAAAATCTGATTTTTCAGGAAAGTCAGGTATGTTGCAAATGAGGAGACTGAGGCCCAAAGAGGTGAAGTGATTTCTTCACTCTACTACAAGTTATTGAGTAATAAAAAAGCCCTGCCCAAGATCGCCTGCTTTCACCATAATCTACGCTTTTGTTTTGCCAGGGGTGGGAGGTTAAGGTGGGGAGGGAGATGGGGGAAAGCAGGATAACGGTTTGTGTTCATGGGCAGTGAGCAGCAAAGAGGCTCTTAGAGTGGAATGCTTCCTCGGCTCAGAGAGTGGAATGCTTCTTTTGCCTTCCAGTCAACTCTGGCTTCAATGATTTAGTGCCTGTGTTCTCAGTGACATTTGTTGGGGTGGAGTTAAGTAAATCACGTTGAAGGGGGAACAAAATCTAACATGATTTATTTTTTAAATGTTTTGGAAAATTCACAAGTTTCATTTTTGGATTCACCCAATAGTTTTCTTGTTTTCAATATGCCTTTTTTCTGGCTCCAGTTCTCTCCTGTTTTCTCTATTGGCTTCTGATAATATTCCAATTTAAGGAAGTTTGACAGATTATTAAAACACTTACATGAAATTCAGATTTTTGTCCTGAATATTGTTTAATATTTATTGATACTTGGGAAGCATAAAGTCATTTTAATGAAGAACATATAAGGAATAGGATTAGCAGTTTATATTTTAAGTAAAATTCCTATTTTACTTATCACTATCACACATCATTTTGATTGGCTTTCTCTGCAGATAAAATGTGTCCTACTAAAATTAAAAGATAACTAAACTTTAGAAAGCAATACTTTAGAAGACTCAGCAGCATATGCTAAGAGGAGCCAGTTTATTTTATTTTATTTTTGAGGCTGAGTGTCTCTCTGTCGCCCAGGCTGGAGTGTAGTGGCACAATATCGGCTCACTGCAATCTCCTCCTTTCGGGTTCAAGCGATTCTCCTGCCTCAGCCTCCCAAGTAGCTAGGACTACAGGCATGCACCACCATGCCCAGTTAATTTTTCGAATTTTTAGTAGAGCCGAGATTTCACCGTGTTGGCCAGGCTGATCTCGAGCTCCTGACCTCAAGTGATCTGTCCTCCTCGGCCTCCCAAAGTGCTGGGATTACAGGCATGAGCCACCGCACCTAGCCTGGTTTATTTGACCTTTTATTACCCACGCATCTTTCATTGTTACTTTTATTTTCTTTTGAATGTTTTTGAATTTAAAAACTTTTAAATACATTTTTAATTTTTACGAATACATAGTAGTTATACATATTTATGGGGTACATGTGATATTTTGATACAAGTACAATGTGTAATGAGCAAATCAGGGTAATTGGGGTATCCATCACCTCAAACCTTTATCATTCATTCCTTGTGTTAGTTTAATCGTTACTTTTTTTTTTTTTTTTTTTTTTGAGACGGAGTCTCGGTCTGTCACCCAGGCTGGAGTGCAGTGGCGTGATCTCGACTCACTGCAAGCTCTGCCTCCCGGGTTCACGCCATTCTCCCGCCTCAGCCTCCCCAGTAGCTGGGACTACAGGCGCCCACCACCACGCCCAGCTAATTTTTTTTTTTTTTTTTTTTTTGTATTTTTAGTAGAGACGGGGTTTCACCGTGTTAGCCAGGATAGTCTCAACCTCCTGACCTCGTGATCCGCCTGCCTCGACCTCCCAAAGGTGTGAGCCACCACACCTGGCTAGTATAGCCATCTTAATGATATTGATTCTTTCTGTCCATGAGCATGGGATGTTTTTCCATTTGTTTGTGTCTTCTCCGATTTCTTTGAGCGGTGTTTTGTAATACTCATTGTAGAGATCTTTTACCTCCCTGGTTAGCTGTATTCCTAGGTATTTTATTCTTTGTGTGTCAATTTTGAATGAGATTGCCTTTCTGATTTGGCTCTTGGTTTGGCTGTTGTTGGTATATAGGAATGCTAGTGATTTTTTTTTTTTTTTTTTTTGAGACGGAGTCTCGCTCTGTCGCCCAGGCTGGAGTGCAGTGGCGGGATCTCGGCTCACTGCAAGCTCCGCCTCCTGGGTTCACGCCATTCTCCTGCCTCAGCCTCCCAAGTAGCTGGGACTACAGGCGCCCGCCACTGCGCCCGGCTAATTTTTTTGTATTTTTAGTAGAGACGGGGTTTCACCGTTTTAGCCGGGATGGTCTCGATCTCCTGACCTCGTGATCCGCCCGCCTCGGCCTCCCAAAGTGCTGGGATTACAGGCGTGAGCCACCGCGCCCGGCCGCTAGTGATTTTTGTACACTGATTTTGTATCCCAAAACTTTGCTGAAGTTTATATGCTGGAGGAGCTTTTGGGATGAGACTATGGGGTTTTCTATAATAGATACAGAATCATGCCATCTGCAAACAGAGATAGTTTGACTTCCTCACTTTCTATTTGGATATCCTTTTCTTTCTCTTGCCTGATTGCTCTTGGTAGGATGTCCAATGCTATGTTGAATAGGAGTGGTGAGAGAGAGCATCCTTTTCTTGTGCTGGTTTTCAAGGGGAATGCTTCCAGTTTTGCCCATTCAGTATAATGTTGGCTATAGCTTTGTCATAGACGACTTTTATTATTTTGAGGTATGTTCCTTAAATACCTAGTTTATTACGAGTTTTTCACTGAAGGGGTGTTGAATTTTATCAAAGCCTTTTCTGTCTCTGTTGAGATAATGACGTGGTTTTTGTCTTTAGTTCTATTTATGTGATGAATCACATTTATTGATTTGTGTATGTTGAACCAACCTTGCATCCCAGGAATAAAGCCTACTTAATCATGTTGTATTAGCTTTTTGATGTGCTGCTGGATTTGGTTTGCAAGTGTTTTTTTTTGTTTGTTTGCTTGAGGATTTTTGCATCGATGTTCATCAAGGATATTGGCCTGAAGTTTTCCTTTTTTGTTGTGCCTCTGCCAGGTTTTGGTACATAGATGATGCTGGCCTCATAGAATGAGTTGGGAAGGTGTCCTTCCTCCTCAATTTTTTGGAATAGTTTCTGTAGGAATGGTACTAGCTCTTCTTTGCACATCTGGTAGATTTCAGTTGTGAATTCATCAGGTCCCAGGCTTTTTTTGATTGGTAGGCTTTTTTTGATTGGTAGGCTTTTTATTACTTACTCAATTTCAGAGCTCATTATTGGTCTGTCGTTCATCCTGGCTCAATCTTGGGAGGGTGTATGTGTCCAGAAATACATCCATGTCTTCTAGGTTTTCTAGTTTGTGTGTATAGAGGTGTTCATAGTAGTTTCTGATGGTTGTTTTTATTTCTATGGGGTTGGTATAACATTCCCTCCATCATTTCTATTGTGTTTATTTGGATCTTCTTTCTTCTTTATTAGTCTAGCTAATGGCCTATTTTGTTAATTTTTTCAAAAAACAAACTCCTGGATTTATTGATCTTTTGAATGGGTTTTCGTGTCTCGATTTCCTTCAGTTCAGCTCTGATTTTTATTTCTCATCTTCTGCTAGCTTTGGGGTTGATTTGTTCTTGCTTCTCTAATTCTTTCAGTTGTGAAGTTAGATTGTGTTTTTGAGATCTTTCTAACTTTGTGATGTGGGCATTTAGTGCTCTGAATTTCCCCTTAACACTGCCTTAGCTGTGTCTCAGAGATTGTGGTATGTTGTATCTTTACTTTCATTATTTTCAAAGAACTTCTTGATTTCTGCCTTAATTTCAGCATTTACCCAAGAGTCGTTCAGGAGCGTGTTGTTTAATTTCTATGTAATTGCATGGTTTTGAGAGATTTTCTTAGTCTTGACTTCTATTTTTATTGTGTTGTGGTCTGAAAGTGTGTTTGGTATGATTTCAGTTATTTTACATAAAATAGTAAGTTTTTGTCCTCCACTATGTACTAAATTCCTGGAAGGCAGAAACCATATCTTGGTTATCTTTCTATATTGTTGTAATAACCAGCAGAGTCCTTTGCTTTTTAATAGCACTCAATAAACATTTGTGAATTCAGGCTTCTGGATGAAGTTATTCAGAGAATTTGATGAACTGACTACATTAGATAACAGAATTTATTAGATAAACAGATATTTTTCATCCAAATTCTCTGCTTTTCAGGGTCAAATATGAGACTGGGATGAAGAAACAATCCGTCTCTTTGAAAGCATGTAACTAGTCTTCTCACAGCTTTAAAGAGGAAAAAAATGTTAAACATTTTTTTCTTATAATGACAGCTCTGGCCCTATTCAAGAGGTCGCAGTTGTTACACAGCAATAAAACCTGGTCAGAAATTCGTAGGTGCCTACAGGGCAGCACATGTCAAAGCTTAAATCCCAAGCAGGTTATAAGTGTCATCACGTTGAATTTACATATGCAATGAAATTCCCTAAAATCACAAATATTACTCACTGGTAGAGTGAGTAATTTAAGCAAACTTGCCTTTCTCAAGAGCTTCAGATATCCACATAATGGAAGTGTGTATGCCTTCCCTGATTAAAACAACTGTTTTTGTGGCACCTTATGGTGCACCTCTTTTTCTTTTTTCTTTTTTTTTTTTTTTTTTGAGACAGAGTTTCACTCTTGTTGCCCAGGCTAGAGTGCAATGGCGCGATTTCGGCTCACTGCAATCTCCGCCTCCCGGGCTCAAGCGATCAGCCTCCGAAGTAGCTGAGATTACAGGCATATGCCACCACATCTGGCTAATTTTGTATTTTTAGTAGAGACGGTGTTTCACCACGTTGGTCAGGCTGGTCTCGAACTCCTGACCTCAAGTGATCCACCCACCTCGGCCTCCCAAAGTGCTGAGCTTACAGGCATGAGCCACCACACCTGGCTGGTGCACCTCTTTTCTAAATATGAAGCCAGGAGTGCAATATTCGCTTGGGTAACTTGTCTATTGCATTCAATACCTATCATGATCTGACAAAAATACCTGATTTCTTGAAACCAAGTACTACGAAGATTATATTTTGTAACAATACTGACCCTATAACCTTTATTTCCTTTTTTACTCAGTTTATTTCCCATCTATTTTGTCATCAATAATTGAATAACTTAATAAATAAAGTAGATTATCCAGACCTCAATAAATGTACATAACAAAACAAATTGTGCTGAGGACTACCCAGCTGTAACAAGCTATGTTTCTTATTAAGGGAAGAGCCACAGGTGGTGACAACTGAATCTAAGACTAAATACAGTGTGTTTTTAGAATCTGATGGAACCAGTGGTGTGCTGGTAAATGTTTAACAACTAGCTCTCTAAAGAAAGAAAAGAGCCCTGATTTATGGTGTTTGTTGATTTTCATGGTATACATACTCCCACCACAGCCATTTTCAAGCCGACAACATGAAATCAGAGTTGGAAAGAAATGCTACACTTGGCTCTCAGGACTCAATAGGAGCTAATCCCATCATATCACTTGGTAAAAGATTCACAAAATGGGGTCTCCTTTTCACAAAACTGCTAAAAATAAATTCGAAGTCTGATCTAATATAACGATTTACATACAGAAGAAAGGAATTCTGTGACAGATGTTGATATATAAAGCCCTCATAAAACAATAGGGATGGCATTTCAAAGGCTTTTGGAAAATAGGAAGTTCAAGACAACAGCTTTGGTGACAGAGGTGGATGTTACCATTATTTTCCTTCTTCCAGATGTCATCTAACGTATAATTTTTTTGAATTAACATTCATAAATCTTAAAAAGTAAAAATCTTTTACTTCAAATCTTAAAAAGTAAAAAAATGTGTTATTCAATATTATCAGGGAATAAGTATTTTACAGAAGCAATTTTTTTAACAAGTTCAATCCTCTGATCAAAAAATGTTTAAATATTTTTCTAATCATATCACACAAAATTTTAGGGAAAATGTAACAATTCTCTGACTTACACAATGCATAATGGATGTCATTACATTACTGGTTCTTCTTTTAGGACATTAAAAAAGATTTTGGACTGGTCTGTAAAACACTGCAGTGCACTGAGGAACTATTTAAATAAATTGAGCTGTGGGAGGCCCCCCTTCCCACTGTTGTGTTCTTGAGTATTTAGGTTGGCTTTTTATATTTCTCCCTTCCTTTCATCCTTTCTGCCTGCTGTGAGCTGTCACTTGCTGTCTGAGTCACAGCCTCTGGCTATTTCACTGCCTCCTCCCATTTCTAATTTGCTGCTTCTAACCTGCCAAGGGCTAGGAAACAAAGCAGTTAGCCCACCTTCTTTGCCTTATGTATAAGACAGACTCAGAGAGAGGGCCTTGGAGGCTTTCCTATGAGGAAAGGGCAACGATTTAAGTCCATCAAAGTTGACATCTAGTTTCCCATTGGAACTTAATCTGTACATTTCCTAAAACAAAGAAAACATACTAGTGTGCCCATGATCCTATGCAGTTGAACTTGGGGCTGAGATCTATATTGTTCACAAATTGACTAAGATATTACAATCGTCTCTCATCTTACAATACTTTGAAATATTGAGTGACTTTTTTCCTATCTCAGGACATCTCCAAGAATAGACTTGTCCCACTAATTAGAGTTGGATTCCTGACATGAAATCTGTTACCTTTGCTTCCTTCTATTCAGGGTTGTCTACTGCCTCTGACTTGTCATCTATAGTCACACAGAGAAAGACAACTCTGCTTAATAATTTGAGATCTCTCTGTCTCAGTCTTTTTCCCCACTTAGGTAAAATTTACATACAGAAATGCACACATCCTAAGTATACAATTTAATGAATTTTGATCAATGTACACACCTAAATATTCATCACTCCAATCATGATATAAACTTTTTTTTTTCTCAGATGGAGTCTTTCTTTGTCTCCCAGTCTGGGGTGCAGTGGCACGATCTAGTGGCACGATCACTGCAACCTCTGCCTCCTGGGTTCAAGTGATTCTCCTACCTCAGCCTTCCAAGTAGCTGGGACTACAAGCATGTACCACCATGCCCAGCTAATTTTTGTATTTTTAGTAGAGATAGGGTTTCACCATGTTGGCCAGGCTGGTCTTGAACTCTTGACCTCAGATCACCTCAAGTGATCTGCCCACCTCAGCCTCCCTCCCAAAGGGCTGGGATTACAGGTGTGAGCCACTGCACCCAGCCATGATAAAAACATTCTATCTATCAACCGAGAAAGTTCTCTGTGCCCCTTCCAGTCACTTTCCACCTCTCACAGGCAATCACTGTTCTAAACCTGTTCTCTGAATTTTGCCTCTGGTTTTTCTGGCTCAACATACAGTTTTTGGGATTTAGCCATCTTGTTCTTTGGATCAATGGTTCATTCCTTTTTATTGCTAAATACTTATCCAGTGTATAACATACCACAATTTGCATATCCATTCCATTGTTGATGGATACCTTTCCAGCTTAGAAGTAGTATGAATAATGCTCTGTAAACATTCTTATATAAATCTGTGTGTGAACATAAGTTTTTATTTCTTTTAGGTAAATATCTAGAAGATAACCTGCTGGATCATGAGGTAAGTGAATATTTAACTTTTTTTTTCTCAACATTTTGTTATGAAATTTTTCAAACATACAGAAAAAAAGAAAGGAACTGTACAATGGACAATTATTGTCCCAATACCCACCACCTAAATTCTACAAGTAGCATTTTGCTAATTTACTTTATCGTGTATCCATTCTCTCATTCATCCATCAACCCATCTTATTTTTTAATGCATTCCAAAGTAAGTTGTACCCATCAGTACACTTTACCCTTCAACACGCATATTACTGGCTGGGCACAGTTGCTCACGCCTTTAATCACAACATTTTGGGAGGTCGAGGCAGGTGGATCACTTGAGCTCAGGAATTTGAGACCAGCCTGGGCAACATGGCAAAACCTTGTCTCTACAAAAAATATAAAAATTAGCCAGGTGTGGTGGCACATGCCTGTAATCCCAGCTACTCGGGAGGCTGAGGTGGGAGGATGGCTTGAGCCTAGGGGGCAGAGATTGCAGTGAGCTGAAATCTCACTATTGTACTCCAACTTGGATGACAGAGTGAGACACTGTCAAAAAAAAAAAAAGCATATTACTAATGACAGCTCAATATTTGTTTACAGATTTTTTAGGTAAATATATATATTTGTTCATGTTGTTGTTAGGTTGTATGAATTCTTTATATATTCTGTCAGACATAAGTATTTAAATATTTTCTCCCATTCTGTGGCTTGCCTTTTCATTTTCTTAACAATGTCTTTTGATGAGCAGAAATTTTCATTTTGATGAAGTCCAATTTACTAATTTTTAATGGTTAATATTTTCTCTGTTTTATCTAAGAAACTGTTGCCAATTCCAAGATCACAAAGATATTTTTCATTTTCTTTTGGAGGCATTATATTTTTAGCCTTTACATTGAGTACACAGATTTTAAAAGCATTTTTTAAATTTATTTTTATTTTTTCCAGATTTTTTTAGGATATAATTGACAAGTAAAAAATGAATATATTTAAGGTGCACAATGCGATGTTTTGGTATACGTGGACATTGTGAAGTGGTTGCAACAATTAAGTTAAATAACATATCTGTCACCTCACATAGTTACCTTTGTGTGTGTGTGTGTGTGTTTGATGAGCATAAAATCTATCTGGCAGCAAAGGCATTTTCTAAAGTCCAGAAAATGCCACTAATATATGCATTAATAATATACAAAAAACCAGTAACTAACTTTATTATGTTAACTTATCTTTTCTTTTCTCTGTTGAACTATTTATTTACATACCTAAACTCTACTCAAACTGCTGTTGTAAAAAACAAGGAGGAATTAGTTTCTCTTCATCTCTAACACCAGAAGAAGATCCATTTTGTAGTCTTATTGCTCTGTTGAATGACTGTCTCCTGGTTTGTGGGCAGACTGGAAGCAGGAGTTCTCTCTGTTTTGGCCACAGTACCCAGGGATACATGCAGCGTACTCAGATACAGGATTGGTTAAGGCAGAGTGCTGAAAAGGTGTTGCTTGACTAGTCTGCCTACTTTGCATACGAGAATTTGGACTAAAATTGTCACTCTAAGTCTCCTGGATCAGCTATGAATCCTTAACAATAGTATCTCAAAATTCAGAACCTTATGAAGCTTTATTAATGATGACAGTACACTATGGAATGTGTTTGGTAAACAGAGAGGGAGAAATCACATTAAAATAGACAATATGTTTCTTCACCAAGGTCTCTAGCTTTCTTCACTGAGGAACTGTGAAAGGTTTTCACCAGTCACCAGTCTAAGGGAACTCCTCTCTTTCTCTCTCTCTCTCAGATTTTTCCCCCGTTTCCATCGTTCCATTGTCTATTGAACCTTTTCTCAGAATCCTGCACTAGTTAGTTAGTGCAGGAACAATTACTTCCTTGTGTTCAGTCATTTAACACCAACTGCGGAGAGAGCTCCGGCTCTCTGTGTGCAGGTGCTCAAAGCTCAGGGCTTTTGCTTTTTTTTTTTTGACTCTTCACCAAACCTCTTTTCCATAACTCTAGCTACTCTCGTTATTAATTTTACAGAGCAAAAGGAGACTCCTTGTTGTCTCCAGCACACTCCATACAATTCCTGCCATAGCAGCTTGGTTCTTGACCTATCCTGTAGGCTTCTTTAAGCTATGGCAGTGGGAAGAATTACGTACCTCACTTTAGCCTTTTGTTTTGTTTTGTTTTGTTTTTTTGTAGAGATGAGCTCTCGCTTTATAACCCGGGCTGGTCTTGAACTTCTGGCCTCAAGCAAGCATCCTGTCTCAGCCTCCCAAAGTGCTGACATTACAGGCATGAGCCACTCACTTTGGCCTTTGATAGAAGAAAACAGCTTCTAGATAGTCCAGATTTAACGTGAATTGAGAGAGCTGTGGGACTTTGTATTTTCTGGAGTGTCACTTTTCTTGCCTTCTTGATTCCTGAAGCTTTGCCTGTTGCTGTATTCCAGTTCAGTCCCTTAGTACACAGCTTGCATAGGCTACTATGATTTGCCTAAAATCAGAAAATACTTACATTTAAAATGTATATACATGCTTTTAAGAAATGCATTCTCAGTATGTTAAATAATCAGATGAACTAAAATGTTTACTTTTTAAACTGTTGTTTTGGCTTCTTACCACGTTGAAATGCTTATCATTTTAATTTATGCAAGTTAGTAACTCTCACTCCACAACCAGCTTACTCTAAAAATATGAACATTATACCAAAGTCAGTAAATGCAATAGTTTTTTTTTTTTTTGCATGAGAATTCTTGGAAAAACATTTTAATCACCTAAAATATCATTAATTTAAAACTAATTAGACTAAATAAGATTTGGCAAATTTCTGCCCTTCAGACAAATCGTTCATATTTTTCGTAATTTGTTCGTGCATGTTACCATGGAGACAGTGAAGTCAAAACACACCAGCTAGTGCATTGTTCAGCTCTGGACTTCCTACTATAGATTTGATTAAGTAATCTGGCCTGCTCATTTTGAGAATCTGAGAACATAGCATTGTCTCTTTAGTAAAAGCATGGTCAGCATTCAGACGTAATCAATAAGGCAATAAGAATTAGGTGTTACATGTAATCATTGCCCTTTTTTATGTGATAAAATAAGGAAAAGGTAAATCACTTACTTCAATCAGTTATTTATGTGGTAAATGCAATGCCTCTGATTCATTCCTCAGAGAAGTGGGCTTGATCTTATAAAAGGAATGAAAAAAAAAACTGCTTATTTGGTAAATGAGACAGGTGGCCTTTTTGACTAAAGCACCAAATAAGGCATTTTTGGGACTCATTTCCTTTGCAGATGCATTGAATATTATTCTCCATCTTCCTGCCTTACACAATACTTGGAACAATAGAAAAATGCACCTCTTTTTCAATGAAGCGTACTTGTCGTCTAATGATTTTGTCTTTACAAGCCCCTTTTATGACATGCTGTCTTGTAGAAATGTTACTTTCATCCTACTGGGCTTCGTCTAGAAGGTCAATATGGTTATGGTTTCTACATTCTGTTTCTTTTACTGTGAAAACTGGCAAAAAAAAAAAAAAAAAAAAAAAAAAGGCACTCCTATGCTTTGATTTAATCCACTTCCAGAAGGACAGATGTTATCAGTGGCCAGAAAAGGTAGGTTATGCGTATGTAAGGATCCCCTCCCCACCATTTCATAAGGACACAGAAAGAGAAATGTCTTAGGTGTGTTTTAAAAACAAAAATGAATTGTATGAATCACCGGAGAATAATCAGAAACCGTCCTATTCCAACCTTTATGCATCACCAACAAAACAAAATTGGTCATTTTTAAGAAATCTTCATTTTCTTTGAGTCTAAGCACACCTATGGAATTTTGAAGCTGACCAATAAGAGTGATTTGGCTTCCGAGCAAGGGTTTTATTCAGGAACAGGCAAATCACTCAAGCAGCTGAATAATTCCAGTGACTTGTATAAAAAAAATTCCTGCTGTAGCAAACAATGAAATTATTGCATTGCAAGTACAGAAAAGACTAACTCTTTAGGTTTTCCTACTTGACTCTATATGGAACATATTTCAATAATAGTTTGTTAATGTACTTCTTTCCAATAATTAAAATATGAATATTTAACCATATAATTACATTTCATCTCAGCAGAGAGATTTGCGGGTATAATTTCTACATAATTCTTAAAGTATGGACCAATCTTTGCGATTTCAGAAATGATCTCTCTCTCATAGCATTTAACTTGAAACATATACCAGATGTCTGTGGCATGCATCTAGGCATAGTTAATCTGTAAATACTACTTAGAGGGTGCGCCAATGGACAAAGAGCTATCACTTCAAATCTTACCAAATGGTCTGTTCGGGAGCACAGATACGGAGCAGGCTTCCTCCCCAAAAATGCTGGTTTGTAGGCGGAGCTTGGGGACTGTTTCCCTGCCTTGGGGAAGCCTTGGCCCTCCCCTCCAAGGAAAGCCAGGACAGATGGGCAGTGTATTTGACAAGGAACCCCTGCATCCTCGCTTCAACGCCCTTCTACTCTACTTTAAAAGCAGTACTGTATTTTTTAAGTGTTGTAACTGGCAGCTCTGCCGGCACTGGCTGCAGCTGAACAATCCTCCATTCAAATCAAGCCGCCCAAACCCAGATTCAGTGGAAAGTTGTGATGGAGCACACAGAGGGAGGCCTCTCTGCTCTCCACTGCGCGGAGGGTGAGGGTTATGTCAGGCGCCCCGAAGATTCCAGAGGGAAGAATTCGGCAGAGTTTTTATACAGCATCTATTATACCAGTTTCACAAGGAGGATTTACCAACTGGAAAGAGAAAAGTTTACCTTAGTTGGCTTCCTTTTGCTGGTGCCACCAGGGTCTGAGCCTCCCCAAATCTCCCTCAAGTAGGAGGCTTTAGTCTCTCTTCCTCGCTTGGAGGCCTCTACAACCATGCCAGATTTTGTAGCCCTGACATTTCTAAGTAAACATCAGCATAAAGTGTCCCTTATGAGGGAGCCAGTGCAGGGCTGGAGAGGAGAGATAAAGGAGCGTTTGCAAGCATGGTGAGGCAAGTTGCAGCAAGGCAAGAAGAGAAAGAAGAGTGAAAAGGGGAGAAGAAAAGATAGGTGGAATCTGCTAATGAGTTGAAGGCTTTTTCTTGGGCAAATGGCATCTGCTTAATTTTCTAGGAGCTGATGCATTACCTTCCCTTGATGTAAATTACCTTCTAACAACAACACATACACATACACCCCTCTCTTCATTAGCCCACACAAAGCTCAGTGTAGACCCTATATTAGCTTCCTAAGGCTGTCCTACCAAAAAATCAAAACCTAGGTGGCTTGAAACAAGAGAAGGTTGTTATCTTACAGTTTTGGAGACTAGAAGTGAGAAATCAAGGCATTGGCAAGGCCAGATTCTCTCTAGGGGCCAAGACTTTCTGGCCTCTTCTAGCTCTGGCGTTTCCCAGCATCCCTGGTGCTCCTTGGCCTGTGGATGCGTCGCTCCAATCACATGGCATCTTCTCCGTGTCCTCACCTCATCTTTACTGTGTGTGTGTCTGTCTCTGTGTCCAAATTTCTCCTTTTCATACAGACATCAGTCATATAGGATTAGGACCTATACTAACGACCTCATTTTAACTTGATTATCTCTGTAATGACCCTATTTCCAAATAAGGTCACATTCTGAGGTAACAGAGGGTTAGGACTTCAATGTATCTTTCTTGGGTGATATAATTCAACCCATAACAGACCCCTATTTGGAAAGCACTTCCCACTGCTCTGTGCTTACCTCCTCAAAAGTAGCCCACTGCAACACAGGAAGGAAAAGGAACTTCTCAAGGGAGATGAAGCTCTAGATCGGACTACAGTAGTAGAAAAACAGGATAAGACTAGTTTCTCTAGCCCCCAGAAGTATGTAGAAAAAAGGTATCAGGGAGATATTGATCGCTCATCTGTTGAGGACTCACTATGTACCAGGTCTATGCTGGGTACTTTCATAATCATGAGGTGTCTAAAAGCTGGATCAGACAGTTCCTTTTAAATTTGCCTTTTTTGGCTGAGTGCGGTGCCTCACACCTGTAATCCCAACACTTTGGGAGGCCGAGGTGGGTGGATTACGAGGTCAGGAGTTCGAGACCAGCCTGGTCAACATAGTGAAACCCCATCTCTACTAAAAACACAAAACTTAGCCGGGTGTGGTGGCACGTGCCTACTGTAGTCCCAACTACTCGGGAGGCTGAGGCAGGAAAATCACTTGAACCCGGGAGGCGGAGGTTGCAGTGAGCCGAGACCACATCATTCCACTCTAGCCTGGGTGACAGAGTGAGACTTTGTCTAAAAATAAATAAATAAAATGAAATAAATTTTTTGAAAATTGCCTTTTTCTCAAACCCCTGCTGAAGTCCCTGTGAATAGTCCCTAAGAAATAGCATCACCTAGACCAAATCCTCAATTTTATAGATGAAGAAACTGAGAGTTAGGCTAATTAATCTCTCCAATGATGCACAACTAGTTAGTGTCAGAACTAGGGCTAGAATCCCATTTTATTGATGCCCACTCTGGCAGTTTTTGTTTCAATGTGGCCTGCGTATTTGACTTTCTGACATATTTGCAAAAGGGAAATAAATTGAACTTTGGTTAACCCCTATAAGCAGAGCAAAGAAGAGGGCTGGCAGACCCTGCCTGGAACTCTTCCTTGATTTACACCATTTTCCAGTTATTTTCCGCCAAAACTGGAATAGATTGCACATGAGTAGAGAGTAATCTGTATGTTACGCACCAAAGTAGCTCTGCCCTTACCAGAGCCTGTGCAGAAAATGGGAATTCAGAGAGAAACGGATATAGCCCCTGCCTTCAAGGAGTTCAGAGACTTGTGGAAGATGTGGACATATGAGAAATTAAATTCACTCTATTTTTATTTATTTATTTGAGATGGAGTCTTGCTCTTGTCACCCAGCCTGGAGTGCAATGGTGCAATCTCAGCTCACTGCAGCCTCCGCCTCCTGGGTTCAAGCGATTCTCCTGCCTCAGCCTCCTGAGTAGCTGGGACTACAGATGCCCGCCATACGCCTGGCTAATTTTTGTATTTTTAGTAGAGACAGGGTTTCACCGTGTTAGCCGGGCTGGTCTCAAACTCCTAACCTCAAGTGATCTGCCCGCCTTAGCCTCGCAAAGTACTAGGAGGATTACAGGCATGAGCCACCGCACCTGGCCTAAACTCACTCTAATGGAATACACATCACAATGCAGATTTTAAACAAGCACAGGAGGGATTTAGGGATGGCTGGCAGCTGAATGTGTCTCAAGATTAGTTTACAAGGCACTTACAGTGGAGGGGTCAGTCCAGGAAGGGAGCCTGTGTTGTGTACCCCATGTAACGTGCTGGAAGCCCACAACAGTTTGTAACAGCTACACTGTCAGGTCCTTAGGACAAACGACTCATAAGTATCAAGAAATGAGAGAGATTAGGCTAGAGCCAGTTTCTTAAGAATCTTGTGTGCTAGACTAAGTAATTTAGGCTTTGTCTTATGGGTAATAAAGGCCCAAAGTTGGTTTTAAGGAAAGAGAGTGACAGGAATTGTATTTCTTTTTCATAGGAGATAGAGATTGCATCTGACTGGGACTAAGCAACCCTCGGAAGCACCAAACCTCACCTCCCTTCTCAACACCTGACTCCGGCCTAGGGCCTTCCCACTGAGGTAACTGATGTCAGATGACACCCCCAAAACCCAACCAGGCTCCAGATTACACCCTAGGGCTTCCCAGAAGAGCAGGGCTCCTGAGTGCGAGCTGGAAAACTAGTTTACCTGTGGGAAAATCCAGCTCCAGTACCACAGAGAAAAGCCCCTGACAAATTGCTGAGAGTCAGCAGGAGGGAGGACCTGACATTTCAGAAAACACTTTTCCTCTCTCTTTGTCCTTCCCGGTGTGTGTCGTTAATTGCGAGGCTGTCTCCATAGCAAAGTCCAAAAAGCACCTTGGCATGTGTGTGGGAGTGTTATCTGGCAGAGCTGTGTCAAGCCATAGGTACATTTTGAGTTTGATACCCAAGTAAACTTTCCGTGGTTCATGCCGCCCTCCCCAAAGGTTAAAAGTAATAAGACCGTCTTTGTGCCTTCGCGGTCTGACTTTTCACAGGCTATTATGAAGAGGGTTGGGTGGGGGTAGAATGTATCCATATAATTTGCATGTTAATGTTTGTTCTATAAATATCCACTGAGAAAGGAAAAAACCACACTTCAAAATATGCTTCAAGAGAACATTTCAGTTTTTATGATCCAAGTGCCAAGAAGTAAGAAAAAAAGAAATCAACTCATTTTTCATTAATTTATTACAAGTTTCAGATATCGATAGTTATATTCAGAGTTTCAGTTACAACATCATAATTACATGCTTTTAAAACTCTGAATACAATAAGGAAGTTCAAGAAGAGATTCCTTTAACAGTTTCTATTTCTTCCCTTCCTTCCCTCAACAAACACGTCTCAACCACTTGAGTTAGCTGCAGGCTCACCAGGCCCCAGACTGTGCAGGATTCTAGGGCTGCTCAACATGGAGCACCTCACCTGCAGGAGCCTAAATAAAGTTGGCAAGTGCCCATCAATCCTTTTCATAAGAAAAGCAAAGGGAGGCCGGGTGCAGTGGCTCACGCCTGTAATCCCATCACTTTAGGAGGCCGAGGCAGGCAGATCACGAGGTCAGGAGTTTGAGACCAGCCTGGTCAAAATGGCAAAACACCATCTCTACTAAAAATACAAAAATTAGCCGGGCATGGTGACGGGCGCCTGTAATCCCAGCTACTTGGGAGGCTGAGGCAGGAGAATCTCTTGAACCGGGGAGGCAGAGGTTGCAGTGAGCCGAGATCGTGCCGCTGCACTCCAGGCTGGCCGACAAGAGCAAGACTCTGTCTCAAAAAAAAAAGAAAGAAAGAAAAGAAAGAGAAAGGAAGGAAGGAAGGAAAGAAGAGAAAAGGGAACCATATTGCAGTGACCACATTCATCAGGAATATTCGGGGATCCGTGGATCAGGATATGAAGCTTTTCTCCTAAAGGGGACAACAGAAAATTCGTCTTGAGGAAAATAGTGTGGGGAGTAGGAGTTTGGCTTCTGTCCTCTAAAACTTGCCTGAGAGGGTGGACCTCATGGGCGTTTCCACAGGGTGGCTTATGGGGCTTTGCTGTTACCTGCTGAATCACCCTCCCACATCCTGGCCTGCCTGCCTGTTCCCCGCCGGGAGTGTCTGCCGGTGACCACACTTACTCAGGGAAAGATGAAGTCACCACCTGCATGAGTTTCAGGATGGCCAGAGAATGGCCCCTTCAGATAGACTGGAGCCACCCTGGGGAGGTAGGGAGGCTACCTTTTTCTGTGTACTTAACCTAACCATTTGGGAAAATCCTGAATATGACTTGGAAGTTCTTCACAGCTTTCTTCACAATTTCCATTCCCTTAATGTCTTGTGAAAAGAGAACTTCATGTTTCTCTCTATATTAAACGTGTGTGTGTGTGTGTGTGTGTGTGTGTGTGTGTGTGTGTGTGTTTGCGCACACTGGGGTAGGGGAGTTAACCCCTAAGCTTTAAAAATAACAACAATAAAAATTACAGTGAGAGTGAAAGCTACTGGGAAGCATAGGTTAGAAAATCTGGATTCTGGGTTCAGTGTTGACCTTGTGTGACCTGGAAAACACCAGTTGACCTCTGTGAGATGCTTTTCTTCATGGGGATGTGGCATCAGTCTATGGGGACATGCATAGTTGGTATGCATAATGAAAAGGAGAAAGGTGACCTAAAACATTTTTTGGTAGCAAATACAGAAATGAACTGGGGGAAAGCAGAGACTGGGAGGAAAGGGGAATCAGGACATGGCTTGAAGAAGAGTGTGCACAATAAAAAGAACCATCAGCACAGAATCAAAGGTAGAATGATGCCCAACACAGTTTTGTCCCAGCTTGATCCAGAACAAGAATAAACAGTCTTCTGCTGCTGCTAGATCAAAGCATCAGAAGAAAACACTGCAATTTCGGCCTAATGCAGTGGTTCATGCCTGTAATCCCAGCACTTTGGGAGGCCGAGGCGGGCGAATCACCTGAGGTTGGGAGTTCGTGACCAGCCTGACCAACATGGTGAAACTCCGTGCCTACTAAAAATACAAAAATTAGCCAGGCGTGGTGGTGCGTGCCTGTAATCCCAGCTACTCGGGAGGCTAAGGCAGCAGAATCACTTAAACCCGGGAGGCGGAGGTTGCAGTGAGTCCAGATTGCGCCACTGCACTCCAGCCTGGGTGACACAGTGAGACTCCATCTCAAAAAAAAAAAAAAAGACAAGAAAAAAGAAAAAACAGTACTTTGGAATAGAAAATGATTTGTTGGAATGAACATATCCAGCAGGATGACATGGTAACATCTTTTTAAAGGCCGTATTGACACAGAATCACTCAAGCAAGTTGACTCTTCCATTCTGGCAGATTCATTTGGAGAGAATGCATGTCAATCCAATGCCTACACTAACTCACAGGGTCCTTTTAACTAAAGATATTTATGTATGTTGGATTTTCAACCCAAGAAGCATGCAGAAGTGATGAGCTTGCTTTTCTTTCTGCCTGTTTCAGAGCAACGTGCGTTACTGTCCTTACCCAGGGTTCTGAGTAACGTGCACATGTCAAAGTCAACAGTGACAGATAATTCAAATCAATAAACGTTGATTATACACCTGTTAGATTTTACGCATCACATTGGAGATACAAAAATAAGTAAGATATGGGCCCTGCTCTCAGAAAGAGGCAGATGTGTAAACAGATAAATTACAATGCAGCACCCTAAATGCCATGACACACCATGATCGGAGCAGGAAGGAGGAGAAAGTGATTAACTCCTCCTGAGAGGGCTTCACAGGGGTGACAAAAGGTGGATAGAGGGAGGGAAAATTGTATTAAACAGATTCTTGAATTATTTATAGAAGTGTTGTTTTGAAAAATGTGGGGAGGGGAGCATTTCAGCGTCAAATAATTTAAGCGGGTTCTTTACTGCAAGATTACTATTTACTTTCATTTGTTACTACTTAGATCATGTGCACATATGTATCTACAGATGTAAACGTATCTTACAATTATCACACTAACGATATAAGGTGTTTTACAACCACCTTTCTACAGATTAAGGCAATAGAGGTGCGGAGAGATTAAGAAACACACCTAAGACACACTAATAAGTGATAGAGGTGAACCAGGAGCTACTCAGTAACATAATAATTAGGGCTTGTGTGTTTCGGTAAAAATAAAAATAAAAAAATGCAAGAACAGAGAATGACAATGGTTCTCCTAGCAGTGAAGTTGTGACTTGAATCCTCTCATTTCACAGAGGGAAAGAGAAAATCAATAGAAAAGAATATCTTTGGGCTGGGCACAGTGGCTCATGCCTGTAATCCTAGCACTATGGGAGGCCAAGGTGAGTGGATCACCTGAGGTCAGGTGTTCGAGACCAGCCTGGCCAACATGGCGAAACTTCATCTCTACTAAAAATACAAAAATTAGCTGACAATGGTGGCGGGCGCCTGTTATCCTAGCTATTCAGGAGGCTGAGGCAAAAGAATCACTTAAACCCAGGAGGCGGAGGTTGCAGTGAGTTGAGATCAAACCACTGCACTCCAGCCTGGGTGACAGAGCCAGACTCCAAGACTCCATCTCAAAAAAAGAAAAGAATATCTTTTTGGCATATATTAACTGGAGAAGACATGTTAATAAATATGTGTCGAGCAAATTCCAAATAGTCTTCTTCAAGATCAAATTCAAAGGTGAAATCAACAAGTGTGTCCATTTGTATGATAGGATTGGTAGGTGTTTGGCGATAAACAAATGACACTTTGCAGGGTTTTAGGTGTTCGGTATGATGTAAGCTTTAGAAATAAGGCAATCTACTCCTGAAGCTTAGATATAAGACCCATCTGAATGGGAAAATGAGAACTGTTGACTGTATGCTGTAGAAATACTCTTGAGTAAACTAAGGATAAAATTCCACCAAATCTTTAGAAATGAACTGTTGCTAGTTCTAATAGGAAAGCATGGGCCTGTTATAAAAGAGAGGGCTTTAAAAATAGTAATAGTTTCTGGCGGGGGGCAGTAGCTCACTCCTGTAATCCCAGCACTTTGGGAGGCCGAGGCGGGTGGATCACCTTGTCAGGTGTTCGAGACCAGCCTGACCAACATGTAGAAACCCTGTCTGTACTAAAAATACAAAATTAGCTGGGTGTGGTGGCGCATGCCTGTAACTCCAGCTACTCGGGAGGCTGAGGCAGGAGAATTGCTTGAACCCAGGAGGCAGAGGTTGTGGTGAGCCCAGATTGCGCCACTGCACTCCAGCCTGGGCAACAACAGAGAAACTCTGTCTCAAAAAAAATAAAAATAAATAAAAAATAAATATATATATATATATATATGTATGTATGTATAAATAGTTTCCATTTATTGAGAGCCTAACATTAAAGAGCATTGGCTTTGGGGTCAGATATGCCCAGGAGTTCAAAATCCCAGCTTTCACTCCTGTAGGTGCATGATTTTAAGACAATTTACTCTCTCTGCCTGTGCCTTTGTCTGTAAAATGGAGACAGTAAAACCAACCTCCCAAAAGTTATATGAGGATTTAATGCCTCATACATATGAAGCACTTAGCATAGTACCTAGCACACCATAAGGTTAAAAAGATAACTACTGTAATAATTACTGTATTATATATTCTTGTGAGATCAGAGAGGAGGAAAAGGTTGATTCTTTCTGGAAGGAGTAATCAGATGGGTTCACAGAAGAAAAATATTTATGGTGCCCAGTAGGATGGCTGTAATTTTTTAAAAAGAAAAAAAATAATGACAAGTGTTGGCAGGAATGTGAAGAAATTAGAACCCTTATACATTGCTGGTGGGAATGCATGGTGCGGCCACTTTGGAAAACAGTTTACAATTCCTCAAGAATTTAAGCATAGAGGTACCATACCATCCAGCAATTCCTCTCCAAGATATATGCCCAAGAGAAAAGAAAATATTTCCACAATAAAACTAGTACTTGTTACTAAAAGTGTTATTCGTAACAGCCAAAAAGCAGAAACAACCCAAATGCCCATCAGTTGATGAATGGATAAACAATATCAAAATGTGGTATATCCATACAATGGAATATTATTTATCCATAAGAAGGAAGAACTGATATATGCTGCAACGTGGATGAATCTTGACAATGTTATGCTAAGTCACAAAAGGCTACATATCATATGATTCTATTGACATGAAAGACCCAGCATAGGAAAATCCGTGGAGACTGAAAGTAGTGGTCACCAGGGGCTGAGTGGAGGGGGAAGGGGGAGTGCCTGCTACGGGATACCGGGTTTCTTTAGGGGTGACAGAATGTTCTAGAGTTAGATCATGGTGATGGTTGCACAACAGTTTAAATGTACTAAAAGCCACAGAATTTTCACTGTAAAATGGTGAATTTTATGTTATGTGAAGTATTACTCATATTAAAAAATTTAAGGTGGGATTTCAAAGAAAAGGAAGGATAGACCGGGCAAAGCAGGGAGAACAGGGCACCCAGTCTGGGGGAAGGCCTAGGGTCAAAGTTCAAAAGCAATAACATCCAAAGTTTGTTCAAAAATGGGGAGAATCTGGTGGAGATACAGCCTCAAGGCTACACTACTCAAACTGTGGTCAGTGGACTGTGAATTGTTTGTTACATTTTGTGAACATGTAAATGAAGAAATCCGAAGTAAATTGTAAAAACATTAGCTACTTACTGTGCACTCAGTCAGTGGCCTCCTCTCTTTACATGGGATACAGACCATGTAGAGCTCACATGGTGAACTGCATGTTGCTCAAGTTACACACTAGTTATGCACAATAGAAGCACATATCGGACCTCCACAGAATGGAAATGAAAACAGCTCGTCCTTTACTTTATATACTTTGAGAAGCACTGTCATGCAGAATGCATTATAAAAAGTAATAGGCAGCCTTTAATCCCAGCACTTTGGGAGGCCGAGGCGGGTGGATCACGAGGTCAGGAGATGAGACCATCCTGGCTAACACGGTGAAACCCAGTCTCTACTAAAAATACAAAAACAAAATTAGCCGGGCGTGGTGGTGGGCGCCTGTAGTCCCGGCTACTTGGGAGGCTGAGGCAGGAGAATGGCGTGAACCCGGGAGGAGGAGCTTGCAGTGAGCCGAGATCGCACCGCTGCACTCCAGCCTGGGTGACAGAGCGAGACTCCGTCTCAAAAAAAAAAAAAAAAAAAAAGAAAGTAATAGGCTGGAGAAATGGGTTGGAAACAAAGTGTAAGGAGCCTTACAAGTTAAGTAGTTTGGGGCCACATTTTAGTCCAAAATTCTTTTCTTCTTCTTTTTTTTTTTTGAAACAGTGTCTCCCTTTGTTCCCCAGGCTGGAGTGCTGTGGTGCTGTCTCAGCTCACTGCAGCCTCGACCTCCCATCTCAGCCTCCCGAGTAGCTGGGACCACAGGCATGAACCACCACGCCTGGCTAATTTTTGTATTTTTTGTAGAGACGGAGTTTCACCTTGTTTCCCAGGCTAGTCTTGAGCTCCTGACCTCAGGAGATCCGCCTGCCTTGGCCTCCCAAAGTGCTGGGATTACAGGCATGAGCCACCACACCAGGCCTCAAAATTATAACTAGGTTGTGCCTAATTATGCACCATCATTGTGAATTGTGGCACTTCTAAGTATGGATTGTCTTTTAGAAGTAGAGAAAACAGAGTAAATGGGTAATTGCAGGGAAAAGAAAATCTTAAAACAAACACAAACCCCTGAAAAACAAGTCAGGGGATATCTACTCCACGGAATCAAAAAAAAAGTCTATGGAATAATCAAAAGAGGTTACAAAAAAGGCACATAGCACACTAATCAACATGTAAAGGATTGTTTATATTTACTGAATGAATAAAAGAAATCAGAACAGGCCCCCCCAGGATGGAAACAGAATTGAGGGCTAGGTTAACGGCAGAGGCAAGAGGGCAGTAGGAAATCTCACAGCTCACATGAGGCCAGAGGGCAATAGGAAATCTCACAGCTCACACTCTCCTGCAGAGGGAAAGAACAAAACCAGCCAGCTCTATGTGTGGGAAAACACTCTCAGCCTCTTAGAAGAAGAACCCTATATTGATTCCAGACATTGTTATTCCCACATGCAGGGGGAATGAAGAAAGAAAAGGAAACCAAGGTATTGACAGGAAAACCAGCTTCTACTTTCTCCTACGTCTTTGATGTCACTGTGGAGCAACCATGAGACTTTCCCTGTTGTCATTTGTCAATTCGTCCTTCCCCAAGCCAAGGCAGTTTACTAACGTCTAGACTCATTAAAGTGGATGAGATTTTGTTTCCAAATCCTGGACAGTGCTAATGTAAATGCTTGTTTATCCATGGTGGTGCAGAATGAAGGAAGTCCATGCTCTGCACAAGTAAAGCGATGTGTCATGTCATATTGCCAAAAGGTTGCATCATTTCTAAACTTTCCGGAAGACTGGATGGGCAAGAGGTCATCTATGTTTATTTTGTGAAGTTTGCCCTACCAGGAAATGTGTGGGTACAAGAGATATTTTGGGCCCATGAGACTCTCACTTTAGATGCTTAATCCAGCAGCATGTGCTATAAGCTTCAGTCTCTAACTACATCTTTAAAAAGAGTGGCAAGTTGTGAAGTATGCAAGGTTTTTTGGCTGCACTGACAGAGCCACGTATAAAATCCTGTTGCCAAGCAGAGACTAGAACCAGATGACAAAGACTGAAAACACACGCCATGTATTGACTTTCCTATAAAATACTCATTACAACCTAATCCAGTCATACTCATTTCTAGAAGAATTACATAATCAGTCAGCAATCCATATTAATTAAAGTTGTAAATTGACCTTAAAAGAAGATTTTTAAACAAAATTGTTCATGTCAGATTTCTTTAAGAATACAGTGGAATTACTTCAACAAAGAAGAAAAATGTTTTAAAGAAGTAATTTTTAGCACAAATTTTAACAAATAGTACTATTCATGGCCCACCAACGGCCCTATTCAAACGTCTCTTGGACATTTTATTTGTGGTTTTCACATCATTCATAATCTAGAAAATAACAGTACCTCTGCCCTGAAAGGAACTACTCCTCTACTTTTCCCTGTGGTTCTGATACGGCTGCCAAGGAAAATATCACTCAGATGTAATCCTCCAACACACACACACGCACACACACAGACACACACACGCGCGCACACACACGCACACACACATTCCAACCCTTATCACATAGCAGTAAGAAGTAATGAAGCTAACACAAACAGGAAGACAATACCAAGAGATGGAAACAGAGAGGCCAGCTCTAACCCTGGAATGCACAGCCAATATATCACCTCTATTGTTTAAACTATTTGAGTTGTTCCTGTTACTTGCAACCAACAGAATCCCAACACCAAAACCCAGGACTTTCAATTCCATAATGGACAGTGCTCCACATTGCACTATTCGGGGGTGGAAGGAGTCTGGAATAGTGCAATGGGGAGTAAAGTTTATATGACTGTCACCCCATAGACATAAGCTACGTGTGACTGATAGCCCTGGAGTTATGCAATGTGAAGTTATAAGGGGATATTTTGCCCACTAACACCATCCATTTCTCTACACACCTAGTGCAACTTGAGCTTGGGTAAAGCCACTTCTAGAACTTCCTGCCTAGTACTGCTATTCTTGCCATTACCACTCCATATTTCATGAAATGCCTTTAAAAAGAATGTTCCTCCACTCTTCTTCTTTGCTTGGATCCTCACAATGCAGGTACCAATTTCTCTATGGAGAATCTTTTAGCTCAGCCCCACATAGAACAAGGCCATTTCTCATAGCAGATGGTGGCCAATTATTTCTGCCTAATTCCTACCTCTACAATTCTTGCCCTTAGAAACCCTTGCATTCCCTACTTCTCTAGAGGTTACAAGTTCACTTCTCAAAAGTCAACCTCGGTGGCTCACGCCTGTAATCCCAGCACTTTGGGAGGCCGAGGCGGGCGGATCACGAGGTCAGGAGATCGAGACCATCCCGGCTAAAACGGTGAAACCCCGTCTCTACTAAAAATACAAAAAATTAGCCGGGCGTAGTGGCGGGCGCCTGTAGTCCCAGCTACTTGGGAGGCTGAGGCAGGAGAATGGCGTGAACCCGGGAGGCGGAGCTTGCAGTGAGCCGAGATCCCGCCACTGCACTCCAGCCTGGGCGACAGAGCGAGACTCCGTCTCAAAAAAAAAAAAAAAAAAAAAAAAAAAGTCAACCTAAAGTCAAATGTCCTTCAATCTTTCCCGTTCTCTGAGTCTGTTTCTCTGACCTCTGCTCCCCTTCCATATTGGAGTTGAAAATCCATCCTTCCTGTTGGCTTTTAATATCTTATTAATAGTCACTCAGAAAATGTACTGCCTGTTTTAAAAAAACTTTTAAGTCTTGGAAGCAATATTTTTCAAATCTAGAGAGTTTCTTTACATGTGGGAATGAGTGGTCTATCAAGCCCTAGGTTCTTTTACTGGTTGCAAATGAATCCTTATGATTCACTGTACACACCTATAAAGGTCCTCATACTTTACCAGTGGAAGAGGGAAGGACCCCCCTCCCTTCAAAACAGTCTTGATAAAATTGCAAGACGAACTTCACTGCTGAGCCTCTAATTCAAAACAAACAAAGAAAAATAAAACAAAACAACAAATGAACAATGGAATACCCGACAACCCCCCCCAAAAAAATCAATTGACCTAAACACAATGCCAAGAGTTACTGTAAAGAGTCATCTTTTGGCCGGGCGCGGTGGCTCACACCTGTTATCTCAGCACTTTGGGAGGCCAAGGTGGGCAGATCACAAGGTGGGCAGATCACAAGTTTGAGACTGGCCTGGCCAACATAGTGAAACTCCATCTCCACCTAAAATACAAAAAATTAGCCGGGCATGGTGGCAGACGCCTGTATTCCCAGCTACTCGGGAGGCTGAGGCAGGAGAATTGCTTGAAACTGGGAGGCAGAGGTTGCAGTGAGCCAAGATCACGCCATTGCACTCCAGCCTAGGCGAGAGTGCAAGACACAGCCTCAAAAAAAAAAAACAAAACAAAACAAAAAGCTGGTCGCAGTGGCTCATGCCTGTAATCCCAACACTTTGGGAGACCAAGGCAGGCGGATCACAAGGTCAGTAGTTCGAGACCAGCATGGCCAACATGGTGAAACCCTGTCTCTACTAAAAATACAAAAATTAGCCAGGCGTGGTGGTGGGTGCCTGTAATCCCAGCTACTCGGGAGGCTAAGGCAGGAGAATTGCTTGAACCCGGGAGGAGAAGGTGGAAGTGAGCTGAGATCACGCCATTGCACTCCAGCCTGGGCAACAGAGTGAGACTCCGACTCAAAAAAAAAAAAGAAAAAGAAAGAAAGAAAGAGTCATCTCTTAAAGATACACAATGATGTAAGAAAGTAAGACTCAAAAGTCTCAGAATGTGTCATAGTGCTAGCCACATGAAATATCAACCCTCATTCCACTGGTGAAGGCACTCATGTTGTGATCCTAAGCCCCTCTTCCAGGCCTATCTCCCACCACACCCTTTATGCACCCTGTGTTTTAGGCAAACTGAACAACTCATGCGGCCTACACATTCCAGAGTTCTTCCTGGCTTCCCTCCCTGCCCCTCAAACTGTGCAGTCTCAGCTTCCCTCCCTGCCCCTCAAACTGTGCAGTCTCAGCTTCCCTCCCTGCCCCTCAAACTGTGCAGTCTTACACAGCTCATCTTGGGGATGTTATCTCCCTGTTGAAGTTCCTCCTAATCCTCTACTTCCTTTCTCCCTCCAAATGCAAAAATAACTTGTCTTTCTTTGGACTCTCAAAATACTTTATTTTGTATTTGTCTATTGGACTTTATCTTACACCACCTCATTTTTAGAGTTACTGTTGCCCATTGCTCCTGAGAGCAAAAGTAGTGGCTTATTAATTTCTGGGTTCCTAATGCCTATCACTGTGCTGTGTAGGCAGTAGTTTTTTGATGATCTTTATTGTGAAAGTTATTTAGAATAAGTTAAGTGACTTATTCTAAATAATTCATTGATGATATGAATTTTTCCATCATGGCTTTACCTAAAATAAATCTCTCTAGATCAAAGTTAGGCAATGCTTTTTCTTTCTTTCTTTCTTTTTTTTTTTTTTTTTTGAGATGGAGTCTCACTCTGTCACCCAGGCTGGAGTGCAGTTGTGCAATCTCAGTTCACTGCAAACTCCACCTCCTGGGTTCAAGCGATTCTCCTCAGCCTCCCAAGTAGCTGGGATTATAGGCATATGCCACACACCCAGCTAATTTTTGTATTTTTAGTAGAGATGGGGTTTCTCCATGTTGGCCAGGCTGGTCTCTAACTCCTGACCTCAGGCGATCTGCCCACCTCGGCCTCCCAAAGTGTTGGGATTACAGGCATGAGCCACCAGGCCCAGCCGCGGCAATACTTTTCTAGAAGTGAGTCTTATAATACTAATTCTTAGTCTGTGTCGTTGAGTGAACGTTTGTGTCCCTCGAAATCTATGTGATGAAATCCTAGCTCCAAGTATGATGGTATATGAGGCAGGGACTTCGGGAGGTAATTAGGTCAGAAGGATGGAGCCCTCATGAATGGGAGTAGAACTCCTATAAAAGAGACCCCAGGGGCTGGGCGCAGTGGCTCACGCCTCTAATCCCAGCACACTGGGAGGCCAAGACAGGCGGATCATGAGGTCAGGAGCTCCAGACCAGCCTGGCCAATATGGTGAAACCTCTTCTCTACTAAAAATACAAAAATTAGCCAGGCATGGTGGCGGGCACCTGTAATCCCAGCTTCTCGGGAGGCTGAGGCAGGAGAATCACCTGAACCCAGGAGGTGGGTGTTGCAGTGGGCTGAGATCGCACCACTGCACTACAGCCTGGGCGACAGAGTGAGACTCTGTCTCAAAAAAAAAAAAAAGAAAGACAGAAAGAAAAAGAGACCTAGGTAGCTCTCTCTTTCTCTTCCTGCCATGTGATGATATAAGGAGAAGACAGCAGTATGCAACCCATAAAAGAACTCTCACCAGACCCCAACAATACTGGACTGGGTTCAGACTTCCAGACTCTAGACTCCAGAACCTTGAGAAATAAATTTCTGTTGCTTATAAACCACCCAGTCTATAGTACTTTGTTATAGAGCCCAAACTGACTAAGACAGTGGAGTGTTGCCATAACAAATACCTAAAAATGTGGAAATAGCTTTGGAACTGGGTAATAGGTAGAGGCTGGAAGAGTTTGTTTTGAGGTACATGCTAGAAAAAGCATAGATTGCTGTGAATGAAATGTTAAAGATGATTGTAAGACAGAAGGCAAAAATACTTTCATTGGATTGGTAAGTCAAGCTAGGAAAAGAACAGGAACTCATATTACTGAGGAGAGGACCTACTATGTGTCAGATATTATGCCACACACTCTGCATATCTCATCTCTCATCTAAGCAAGGAGATCACCTCCATGGTAAAAGCAGCCATCTCCATATATAAATTTATCTTTTGAACTTCAGGACAATTTCATCTAACAAACTGCATATGTACCTTTTTGTTATTTTTTTGTATATTATTCGTTTTCCCCCCACCTTTTTCTTTAACTAAAGCAGAGTTTTTTTCTCTTTTTTAATTTCTTCTTTTTTTTTTTTTTTTTCACCACTGTATTCCCAGTACTTAGAATAGTGCTAGGGAATCAGAGCAGGCACTCAAAACATGTTTAATGATCAGATGATTTTGACCTTAACATTTTCTACAAGTACTTTCCTAGCAGGTCTTGCAGTTGGTCCCTGAGAACAAAATGACCATTTTAAACATTTGCATGTGAGGATCACATTCTTTGCTGTAAATAAAACTCAGACATTTCTCCCAAGTGACCCAGAATCACAGGTGTACATCCTGAGAACCAGAAACATCTGGGTGAAGAGGGAGGAAAAAACCCTGCAATGTTCCAACCCTACAAACTGCTTTTTAAAAGACAGAATTAGAGAAAGCTTCAAAAACAGCCAAAACCTCTTGCAGAAAGAACTCCTTTGTGGAATGATGGAAAAGTTTGGAACCAAGGTTTCCCTGGGGCTGGAAGTGTTACTGGCCTCAAGGACTGAACCAATAACACTGCTGGAGTGAGTGTGGGTTCCAAGCTCAGCGCCTGCCAAATCCAGGATTTCTCCTCCCCAGTTCTGAAGACAAACCAGATAGAAATTAAATCTGTTGGGTAACTGAGGTGCAGTGGAAAGTATGTGTGGCTGCAACTCAGAAGAGTCGTTTATATTTATTTGTTAATATCAGGCTGTTTTTCCATTAGATTCTTAGATTCCTTAGATTCTTGCATAATAGTGTTTCATTAACTAGTGTGTGGGTGTTACTAGTAACAGTACACTCTTAAACAAATAAGGCAGGTGAGGGATGTTGTCAGTAGAAAATATATTGATTTAGTTTTTATTTCATTGAATTTTTTTTATTTTAATTTTTTTACCAATGGGGTCTCATTCTGTTACGCAGCTGGAATATGATCATGGCTCACTTAAGTCTCAATCTTCTGTGTTCAAGCATTCTTCCTACCTAACCCTCCAAAGTACCTAGAACTACAGGTGCACAGCACCACATCAAGCTAATTTTTTAATTTTTGTAGAAATGGGGTCTTGCTATGCTGTCCAGGGTGGTCTCAAACTCCTTGCCTCAAGCCATCCTCCCCCCTCAACCTCCCATAGTGCTGGGATTACAGGCATGCATCATTATGCCCAGCAATTTGTGTTTTTTCCTAACCTGCAGAACAAAGTAATAAGCCTGTTTGTTTCAAGATCTCCACCTAGATAAACATAGAGAATTCTAAACATTAAATATTTCTGAAACTTCAACCTAGGAAACTACTGCATTTTTTAGAGTATTTTGTCCTCTTCTTTTTGAATGTTTTACTTTTTTTTCTCACCTGTATTGTGAAAAGAAAACCAGAAAGCAATTATTTCTTCCTTCTATGCCCATCCCTTGTCTTTAATATCATCTTTGAAATAGTGACACCAAGGTCAGTGACTTCTCTAAGTGGCGTGAGCCACTGCTTCTGGCCTTCTTTGGTTCTTTATGATTTTTAAATTCATCCATCTCCCTAACAGTCCCCTCATCTCAAGCTCAAATTCAACTATAATAATATTTATAAGTGTCACATGATACATATTAATAGCATCATTCATTTCTTCATTTAATAAGTATTTATTGAGGCTGGGTGCAGTGGTTCACACCTGTAATCCCAGCACTTTGAAAACCTGAGGCAGGCAGATCACCTGAGGTCAGGAGTTCTAGACCAGTTCTAAACCTCGTCTCTACTAAAAATACAAAAATTAGCCAGGCCTGGTGGCGAACACCTGTAATCACAGCTACTTGGGAGGCTGAGGCAGGAGAATTGCTTGAACCCAGGAGGCGGAGGTTGCAGTGAGCCGAGATTGTGCCACTGCACTCCAGCCTTGGCCACAGAGCCAGACTCTGTCACAGAATAAATAAATAAATAAATAAATAAGTCTTTATTGAGCTCCCAATATGCACCATGTACTGTTCCAGACTCTAAAGTTAAAACTACAAAGAAAACAGGGTCTCTTTCTGAAAGGTTCCTAATGTTTAAGGGTAGATGGACAATGAAAGCACAATCAGTGCTGTATCAGGGGCAAACGGGGTAACACAATGGAGGATGGGAGCAACATGTAACTATGTTCCATGAAGGTCATCAAAGACATTGTGGAAGAAGTGATTAATAGGAGTTAACTCAAAAAATGGGGGGGAAAAACAAAGCAAAACAGGAGAAAGCATGTGCAAAAGTGCAGAGGCAAGACATAGCAAGCAATCTTACAGAACTACAAATAACTCAGTGTAGTTGAAGGATAGGTGGGGGGTGGCACTGGCAAGACACAGGTGGGAGAGACCAGACTGTGAGAAAGCCTTACATCCTGAGGACAAGAGGGGATTGATGAAGAATTTTAAGCAGGGTGAACGGACGGGACATAATTAGAGATTCAGAAAGATCCCCTTGGATTTGATGTGAAAACTGAAAACCAAGAGACCTGTTTGGAGGCAGCAGTGGTGATCCGAAGAGAAGAAATGATCAAAGCTAGTGATGGTCCAAGTGGAGTTATGCCCTCGGAGGTGAGACCTCTCTTGGGGAGGTGGAATCTTCAGGACTTGGGTACCAATTGGACAAGTGTGTCAGGGAGGGAGAAGGGTCAGGAGATGCCCAGCAAAAGGAGCAGATTTTAGCTGGGAAATGGAGACAAGAACTTAATTGCAGTCCAATTGAGTAGAGGTGCCTGTGGGAAATCTAGATGTAAACATCCAAGCGATCCGAAACCTAAGTCTGAAGCTCAGGACAGCCTTCTGGGCCATTGGCACAAGTTCAGGGGTCATCAGCAATAAATCGTTGGAGCTACAAGAATGAACAAGATCACCAAGGGAGAGAATGTGTC
The DNA here is from genome assembly GCF_000001405.40 of Homo sapiens. NCBI lineage: Eukaryota > Metazoa > Chordata > Mammalia > Primates > Hominidae > Homo > Homo sapiens. Next base: position 171,975,372 of record NC_000003.12, read on the forward strand.
CGGAGAATAGAAGAGGGTCAAACTCAGAGAGGTCACACTGAGTTAAATAGAAGGGCAAAGGAAAAGTTGTCGGAAAGGAGACTGAGAAGGAGCAGCCAGAGATGGAGGAGGGAAAGTTGGAGAATGTGGCTTAATAGAAGGCAAATGAAGAGAGCATTCCAAGCACAGAAGGAAGTGGTAAACAGCGTCAAATGTTGAGAGCTCAAGTCAGATAAGAAATGAGAACTGTTTATTAGATGTAGCAATAGGGAGGTGGCTTGGGACCAAATGAGAGCAGTTTCTGAGGAAAGGTGTGGGCAGAAGCAGATTGCTGTCAGTTGAGAGGAAAGGGACATGAGGAAGCCACAGAGAATGTGGACAGTTATTTCAAGAACTCGGGCTCTGAGGGGGAGGAGTGTGATAGGAGAAAAGTGTAGGGCAAGCGGGAGAAAAGAAGAGTTAGGAGGATTTTTTAAAAAGAAAGAGACTTGAGGATACTTAAAAATGGGAAGGATCGTGTGAAAATTTTGAGGTTGAAATGTAGAAGAGTGGGGATACATGCCGGAAGGAAGTACATGAGAAGGCCCAAGGTGATGAGAGCCTAAGTTTAGATGGAAGGGTTAGTCTTAGGGGAAGGTAAGTGCAGGTATAGGGACAGGTAAGATGGTGAAAGACATGGCAGGAAATTGTGTGTGTTCTCATCTGTGGCTTCTAATTTTTTGTGAAGGAGCAGGCAAAGTTATTTGAAGGTAAGGGGTGAGGTAGAAGTATGAAGGAAAGAAATAGATGGCTTCAGTTCAATGAGGAAAAGTCTCATAATCGATGCTGTGGAGATGGAAGGGAGAGAGCTGACCAAGAAAACAGGAGCATCAGGCAGTGCTGATGGCACAGGGCATGTGGGAGTTCATTTGTAGGATACCCTTCCAGAAAGTTCGGTGATTTTCTCCAGCTGTGCCTCCCAGCCCAGGAACAGAAAAAAATGTAGACAGCTGCGGGTGGAAGAGTTTTGCCTCCATGTTTTGATGGAAAGACAATTTGAGAAGACTAGAGGGGAAGCACCAAGTTCACGAGTGAGCCGGATGTCAAGGGAGTGGAGTAAAAGTGCAGACAGAAGTACAGGGAGGGAGATGATCACTTTCCAAAAGGAAAATGCCAAGGCTTAGGAGGAGAGGAGCAGTGGGAAAAGGAAATCCAGAACAGAGGAGTAAAATGGGAGAAAATGTTATGGTTGTCCCACGAGTCATACCTTGGCCAAAGACCAGGAAAGGCAACAAAATAGAAGGAATATAGAGTTCTCACCAAAATAAAGCCTAGTAGTCATCTTGTAGCTAGGAAAACTCCTGCCTCTGTGAAGAAGTAAACCAAGGCTTGCATGGATTGTCCTGTTAAGGGAATCTTGGCCCATTACATTGGTCCATGGGGATTCGCTGGTTCCTCTGACTCTCCTACTGGAAACCACAGCAGCCTCTAGGGACTGGGACACTCTCGTTTCTCTGAAAGGAGTCAGCCCATGTGTGGTTCAAGGATGCTTCACTCTCTTTACCCTATTTATAGAACCTTCTTATTTGAGAACTTTGTGAGGTAAGTAGTATTACCTCCCATTCACAAGCAAGGCTCAGAGAGTTTTATAACTTGCTCCCGGCTGTCAGCTACCAAAAGGGAGAAGTGAGACTAAGTGTACATTTTATGACTCCGAGTTCAGTGCTCTTTCAAACTATAGGCCTGTCTTATAGGACTGGAAATCCCTTAATTACTTCAAACCCTATGAGAAGATGCCAGTGTAATGGTTGTAATATTTTTGAAAATAATAAATTGATATGTTTACATTTATATTAACTTCCAAAGCCTAAGTCCTTCTGACTCAAATAGCAGATAGGCTGTCAGGTGGGGGTGAATACCACCCATCTGGGAAATGTTCACGGTCACTTATGATTGTCACAGGTCTGTGGAATGCTGCTGGCATTTAGTGGGTGAAGGTCAGGGACATTAAATCTCCAGCAATGCCTAGGGCAGTCCTACCCAACAAAGATTTGTCCTACCCTAACTTCAGTGCTACTCTCAGTGAGGAACACTGGTAGGACAGCATGGTAGATGGCCTCCAAGACCACGCTGATGATCCCCACCTCCTGGTATTCCACCCTGTGTAGTCTCTCCCACATTGTACTAGAGTCGTATAACCGGTGGAACATGGCAGAAGTGATGCTATGTCACTCCCAAGATTGCAGCTCCTGTCTTGGTCACTGCGTCTCTCTTGGATCACTAGTTCTGGGGGAAGCCAGGTCATGACCAGCCCTACAGAAAGGCCCAATGGTGAAGAACTGAAGCTTCCGGCCAACAGCCATGTGTATGACGTTGGAAACAAATCCTCCAGTCCCAGTCAAGTCTTCAGAGGCTGTAGCCCTGAGTGACAGCTTGACTAAAACCTCAGGAGAGACCTTGAGTCAGAACCACTCAGACAAGCTGGTCTCCGATTCCTGACCCTCAGAAACTGTGGAAGATTACAAATGTTTGTTGTCTTAAGTTACTAAGTTTTGTGGCAATTTGTTATGTAGCAATCGATAACTGAGATAAAGAAAATAGTCATGGCTAAGTTTAATGTCTGTCTATCTATCTATCTATCTATCTATCTATCTATCTATCTATCTATCTTTAATTCGTAGCAAGACTGTCTTAATAGCCAGCCACAATTGACTCAGTCCACAGAGCTCTAACATGAACCATGGCAGTAACTCAGGATATGATGTAACAGAAGTTCATGTCTACCTAGAGAGAAAGGGGAAGTACAAACTCTTTGAGGAGGAAATAAAAAGATAAGGGAAGTAGAAGAAAAGAAGCATTCAGATATTTGGGTCTTAGCTTCTGATTCCAGGGCCACTGTACTTGGTTGTGCAGTGTTTATTCAAGGAGTCAAGTGAGGGTGGGTATCCAAGCCTTGTTTCACTTACCAAGATTGGCAGCCCTTGTCCAAGGATATCTTTCTGAAAGATCTCACTTTCTAATTTTCATAAGGGAACTGTATTAGTTTCCTAAAGCTGCCATAACAAAGTACCACAAACTGGGTGGCTTAAAACAACAGAAATTTATTCTTGCACAGTTCCATAGGCTAGAAGTCTGAAATCAAGGTGTCAGCAGGAACGTGCTCCCTCTGAGACTCTAGCTGCAATCCTTCCTTGACTCTTCCTAGCCTCTAATAATGGCCATCGAGCCTTTGCATTTCTTGGCTTGCCGCTGCATCGCTCCAATTTCTGCCTGTGTTGTCACGCAATGGTCTCTCTCTGTGACTCTGCCTTAACAGGTCATCTTTCATCTTCTTATAAAGGCACCAGTCATATTGGATTAAAGGCCCAAACTATTCCAGTATGACCTCATCTTAACTAACAACATCTCCAATGATCCTATTTCCAGATAACATTACATTCTGAGATACTAAGGGTTCAATAGATAATATAGGACTTCAATATATCTTTTTAGGGAACACAATTCGACACATACCAAGACCTATACAAGTTAGCATTCTCTCTGCCCACCTTTTGGATCAAATCAAGTGTGTAGATGGAGATAATCAGATATGTTTGGAGGTTTTTCCAGAGCAGGGAGCCTTTCCTAACTTCTTCGGATAGACACTGAAATAAATTCAAGTCCTTTAGAGGAACCAGAGCTTTAGTATGGAACTGTCCAAGCTGCTTAGAAGTAGCTGAGGAACAGATGAAGGTGGAAAGAAGGTTGGAAAAGTGCCCATAAGGTCTCTCGTGTCTCCCATGTGAAGTAGAAGGGACTCATGAGTCCCCACATAGTCTTGTTAGGGATGGCTGAGTAGAGAGCCAGTGAACCTGCCATAGGGCCACCGAGGCATGGAGTTAGAATAAACTTTCCCAACTCTGTCAGCTTTTGCCGCAACTAAAGGACCTGCACTACCAGCAACAGCCTAAGGTCCTGGTGGAATCAAGAGAATGAGCATAAGTTTCACAACCATGAACGTCAGTAGCAGATATCAGCAGGGTTCCCTATAACTGAGAGGGAAAAGAGACATTATCCTGGAGACCATCAAGGGCCTATTTTAATCTGATAATCCAAGGACTAGTGACCCCTCTCCCTGCCCGACCTCCAGTACCGCGCGGATTCCATCTATAGCCAGATACAATGTTGGTGAGAAGACCTGGAAAGGGAGTGAACTCAGAAACACTGCATATTTACCCAAAATGTACAAATTAACCCAAGTGTCTGCTTTAAACTAAAGATATTGCTAAAAGAACTCTTTAACTGACAAGTTTATGTCTCCTCCTAGCTGTTCATAGAATAAAGAAATCATTTATAGAAAAATTTTTCTTTTAAAAGCCCCTTTTTTCAGACTTTCCAATTTGTAGTGGATTACATTTTTGCCCCCATTGAACCATCAATGTAGTAATTATAGCAATTGCCTGATTCTTTTCCCCCTATAATTTTCCAAGAAGGAAACACTAAATGCAAATATACTCATTTGTCTTTAAATCAAATCCCCAGTCCATTCGGCCACCCCAAAGCAAATCATCTAAATGTGAATGTAAGCAATATTGTGTATTTTAGAGTAGGAATAATTTGACCATTGACAGTTATAGACCTCTAGAAGAATTACTGGTTCTTAGCAAGATGTAGAAAATGTCTCAAAGATTAATAAATGTACCTAAGGTGGTTGGAGACAAGGCCCTAGATGCCTACAGAACTGCCTTATTTTCCATAGCAGAATGCAGGAAAAAAAAAAAAAAGGAAGAAGAAAAATGGAGAGGAGGACAATGCTACATCTTTATTTATCCTCATTGTTTTCTCCTCTTCATTCTCCATTTATATATATTATTTCATTTTATCTCAAAACCAAGAAACAATCTTTCTCAAACTGAAGTCAACAGACTACCAAGATTTTCAAGCTGTTCTTGGTGCTAACTCTTCATAAAAGTAGGCAGGTATTGTAGTGGGCCAATGTACAACCAAAGAAAAATAAATTTATGGATATATAAAGACTTACAGATACCACCTCTCCCCTCCATAAATGAATAGTCCATCTTCCTATTATGATAATTATTCACAGCAAGGTGAAATAGAAAACACTGAACTTGGAGTCACAATATAGGGGTAAAAATTCCAATTCTGCCCTTTACTACCCTTGTCATCTTGTTGGAGTTATTGAACCACTGTGAATCTGACAGCTATAAGATGGAAATTATATAATAATTCTACATATTTCTGAGTTGCTCTGAGAATTCAATGAGACCCACACTGTTTGAGGGTAATGCTCCAAACCACCACTGATATTACACAGGAAGTGTTACAGTGCTATGCAGCTGACACATGAGGCAAGACATAATTCTTCTCACTCCCCCACACCCCACTGTCTACTTCTGCAGCAAAACAAAGAAAACTGGTGCTATGGAGAATGTAATTGCCAGACAGAACCAGCATCCAAATGGTGCACAAATTAGCAGCCAGCAGTTGTTCCCAGAGTTAACAAGTCGATATTAAGGACTTCAAGTCATTAATAACAAAGACCTGCAGCAAACACAGACACCCCAAGACAGGCCAGAGGATAGAAGACAATACTGTCATCAGTAGTGAGGCCAGGCTCTCACTAGCTGAGACTTATCAACCAGTTTCTTAATGAGAAGAAACAGAAGGGAGATAACAAAAGTTCTGTTACAAACCCCCATTACCTTTAAACTCTCAAACTGCTCAAAGTGTGATTCATGGACCAGCCACATTATCACCTGGGAGCTTGTTGGAAATGCAGCATCTCAAGCTTTGCCTCAGACATACTGAATATGAACTTGCATTTTAACAAGATCCCCAGGGGAATCACATGCACATATAATTAGAGAAGCACTATTTCGGAGTTCATTGAACAGCAGCATGTAAGATGAAGTATATGTAGTTCTCAACACATGCTTTTGAGTGTTCATATGATCTCTGATCAAACAACTCCTCTAGGTAGCTATGCATAGAAATTCTTCCAGGTGGATTCTACCTGACCATTGCTATCAAGATTCTGATACCCGGATGAACAAAAACAGATAAGCAGCACCCTTTGGAGTTGTTGGAGTTTTATGTCTTAATGAATGCCTAGCTGTGTCTGGGAGGTACTGCAAGAACACCTATTAAGTTCCCTCTTAAGAATTCAGTGTACACACACACACACACACACACACACACTTAACATTCATCCAACAATCATTTATTGGACACCTACCATATGCAAGCATGTATTCTTTGAGAAATTAATAACCTGAAGTAAGTAATCTTTTTTCAACTTAAACTACAAATCAAGATTTACATGGAATTGAAATGCTTTTAAATCAAGCAAATTTTAAGAATTTTACACTCTGGTTTTAAATCTGTTAGCAGGGAAAGAAAATTTTTATAGGAAAAATGTCAGAAATGATAAAATGTACACTTGAAATACACTTTCCAGTCAGCTCATGTGAGCAACCTGAAATGAGGAAAGAAAGAAAAAGATCAAAAACAAGGAAAAATAAAAGATGGAAGCAGGTAGGCTCAAAAAAAACAGATGAAGAATGAGACGGTGAGAGATGGCCAGAAGAGAGACAGAGATACAGGTAGAGTGAGAGATACAGGACAAGCGTATGAGGCAAGTTAGAACTGCTTCGGCCATGTCTTCATGGCATGTGTTCAAATGACACAAATTTGTACATTTGAGTTCATGGTAAGAGATTATTTCCTGTAACATTCTATGGCACTTAACCATCTATGGCTTATCAGCTCTTTTGATGAAATACCATTGGCTCTAAAATGAAGGGGCTGAAGCATCCCTTCTGGCTTAGAGGTACTGTTATCACCTCCACTTACAAGAGGAGAATTAATTAATCATCAGCAAGGATAATTTGTGAAATTCTAGTATTTATTGTGCCCTGGAAAATCTGCTGTAAGGACTTTGCCACCTGCATTGGCCATCAGAGCAATGATCTCATCAAACTAGATGTGTACACCAAAACTCTGGGCTATCAGTCATGTATTCTTTTCAAAAAGATATCCAATAATAGAAGTGACATCTCAGTAAATTGGTATAAAATGGAGAGTTGGCCAGGCGCAGTGGCTCACGCCTGTAATCCCAGCACTTTGGGAGGCCGAGGCAGGTGGATCATGAGATCAGTAGTTCAAGACCAGCCTGGCCAAGATGGTGAAACCCTGTCTCTACTAAAAATACAAAAATTAGCTGGGTGTGGTGGTGCACGCCTGTAATCCTAGCTACTCAGGAGGCTGAGGCAGGGAACTGCTTGAACCTGGGAGGCAGAGGTTGCAGTGAGCTGAGATGGTGCCACTACACTCCAGCCTGGGCGACAGAGCAAGACTCCATCTCAAAAAAAAAAAAGGAAGTTAAGATATTCATCAGAAATCTAAATTTTATTTTAATAGAGGACTGCATAAAACTGTCTGAAGAGAACAGTGGGACCCAGTGGTTTTATCACCCCATGAGCATGAAAAAAGAAATCTTGTTTCTTTTTTTTTTTTTTTCACTTTTAAGGTAGAAATTCTTATGGACTGGAATCTTCCTCAAGGCTTACTTTGTTCCTGGGATGCAGTGGTGCATAGAAGATAGGGCATTGACTCACTCAGACCTGGCTTGCCCAGCATGCATTGCAACAATGATGTGCAAGTTATTAAAGACATGAGTGAATTCGTAAGTATAGTGTAATTTGAGATTTCCTATGCAAGGTATTCTAGAAATGCCAAGTATCTTGTTTACAACAAACCAAAAACTGAAATGTTGGTTGTCATGTTCACTACCACATAGAAAATACACAGTGAAAGACTTTCACATTTTCAGTAAAATAAGCAAAGGGGGAACGGTGATTTATCTTGCTGAAGTTCTGTAAGGCAAAATTATTTAGTTCATTGTGAAAGAAAATAAAACGTGCTCTAGAGAACAGAACACATAGCTTTTAGAGAGATAGGCTGCTTTTAAAAAGATGTCTGTGATTCCACAATAATGACATAAAAGCCCTAAGTGTTATTTCCTAGTCCTTACTACATTTTAACTGTCACTGAAACTAAAGTAATGGAAAAATTATATTTGTATGTATAAAGTAACTATAAATTATCCACTCATTACAAAACATCTTATCCTTTATCTATTTAGATACAATTATAGCCTTGCTCTCCAACATTTTGGAGAACAGGATGTTGGTTAATAAAAATTCTAGTTAAGTAAGTATTCAATTTTTTTTTAGTCTTTCTCTTATATTGTCCTTTATTCAGTTCTCCTAGACTGACAAAAAATGTGTCCCAGTGATGTAGCTTTTCCTTCCAAAAAAATTAGCAGGAACAGGCTGGACGCAGTGGCTCACGCCTTTAATCCCAGTGCTTTGGGAAGCCGAGAAGGACAGATCACCTGAGGCCAGGAGTTCAAGACCAGCCTAGCCAACATGAAGAAACCCCATCTCTACTAAAAATACAAAATTAGCCAGGCGTGGTAATTCATGCCTGTAATCCCAGCTACTCGGGAGGCTGAAGCAGGAGAATCACTTGAACCGAGGAGGTGGAGGTTGCGGTAAGCCAAGGTTGCGCCATTGCACTCCAGCCTGGGCAACAAGAGTGAAACTCCGCCTAAAAAAAAAAAAAAATTTATCAGAAACAATAAGTAACTCTCTAAAGTCTCCAGCGTTTCTATACTCTTCTGATTCTGTCATTCAATAAACATTTTTGTATGATAGACCATCAGATGTGCTGAATCTATACAGATTAGTAAAATACTAAGTAAGTAACAGTGTTTGGCTGTGATTATACTTTTTAAATTATGGCACATGTATACATATTTTAAACATGTGTGCCATATGTATACATGATTTATTGATTTAATCATTTATTTTTATTTATTTATTTTATTTATTTATTTATTTTTTTGAAACGGAGTCTCGCTCTGTCACCCAGGCTGGAGTGCAGTGGCACCATCTCAGCTCACTGCAAGCTCCGCCTCACCAGTTCACGCCATTCTCCCGCCTCAGCCTCCCGAGTAGCTGGGACTACAGGCGCCCGCCACCACGCCCGGCTAATTTTTTTTTTTTGTATTTTTAGTAGAGACGGGGTTTCACCGTGTTAGCCAGGATGGTCTCGATCTCCTGACTTCATGATCCGCCCGCCTCAGCCTCCCAAAGTGTTGGGATTACAGGCGTGAGCCACCGTGCACGGCCATGTATACATGATTTATATTTGATCATAAGCTTCATGAGTGGAGTGACTGAGTCTGTCTTGTTCATGTCTGTATTCCCTAAATATAGCATAGTTCCTGGCATTTAGTAAGCAAGTAGTATATCTATTTACTCATTGAATAATATTCATTGAACACCCATTATGTTCTGGACACTATTTCTAGATACTGGGAATACAGGATTAAAGAAGAAAGAAAAAAAGAAAGTTTCTGCTCTCATAGTGTCATATTCTATTAGGGAATAATAAGTGAGCAAATAAGTAAAACACATGGTATATACTTTGAGGGGAAAAAAATAAAGCTACGTAAGAGAAGGAAAGCAATGCAGATGAGATGCTACCAGATACGGGTGATTGTAGAAGCTGTGCTGTGACACCCAGTTCCCGCTTTAGGATGAGGAACTCATTTCCCCAGCTGGCATGAATGTTGACTGCCGAGGGCTCACAGCTATGTCCTCTCCTGGACTTGGTTTTGGTAGAAGGAAGCTGCTTTGCCCAGGGTTTTGCCCCTTTCTAGGGACAGCATATATCCAGTAACTGGTTCATACAGTGGTACAGATCTCTCTTGCCTCAACTGGAACAATTCTGAGGGTCCATCCCAGCTCCAGAACTCTCTGTAGGAGGAACTGAGGTCTCTGTTGCAATCGCATCAACAGTACAACTTCTCCTGTTTCTCAATACTTTTTCCTTCAACCTCATTTATCACAGATGTTGATCCCAAACACACTTGCCAATGTATCTCCTCATGCAAATATTGGAGTCTCAGAGTGAGCAGAGGAAAGATAGGCATTTGGATTTTGTTTATTTATTTATTCATTTATTTTGAGACAGAGTCTCACTCTGTCGCCCAGGCTGGAGTGCAGTGAGGCAATCTCAGATCATTGCAACCTCCGCCTCCTGGGTTCAAGTGATTCTTCTGCCTCAGCATCTCGAGTAGCTAGGATTACAGGTGCGCCACCACGCCCAGCTAATTTTTATATTTTTACTAGAGATGGGGTTTCACCATGCTGGCCAGGCTGTCTCGAACTCCTGACCTCATATGATCCGCCCACCTCAGCCTCTCAAAGTGCTGGGATTACAGGTTTGAGCCACTGCACCTGGCCGGCATATGAATTTTATTCTAAGTAGGTATATAATAGGTATTTGACATGAGACTGGAGTTCAGGGGAGAGGTACAGCTGAGGATATGAATTTGGAAATGTCAGTTACAGTCAAAGCCAAAGGACTACATAAAAATCACTTAGGGAATAAATAGAGAATAAGTCTCAACAATAGAATTTTGGAGATCCCCAACATTTAGAGATCAGGAGGAATGGGAAGAATCAGTAAAAATTTAAAAGAAGAAGCCATTGAGATAGTGGATCCATAGAATAGTGTCATGGTAACCAAGAAGGAAAAGTTCCTCAAGGAGGGAATGAGCAACTGGGTCAAATGCTACAGACAAGTTAAGCTGATGAAAACTGTGAATTGATATTAAGACTTGGCAACATGGAGGTTATTGGTGACAGTAACGGTTCCAGTGAAAAGATGGACAAGGGTGTTGATTTATTGAATGAATATAACACATGTTATGAGACAAGATTTATTAAATGTTTATTATGTTCACAGGATATATCTGTACTTCTTTCATATTTGAGAGGGCAGGTAATCTATATTCCCAGTTCCTAGATCGATGCCTGCCACACAGTTGTGCATAGTGCATACTTTTTTAATGAATGAATCACATCGTATCATTTTTCTAAATGCAAGCATCACTTACCTAACAGTATCAAATTTTAAACAGGAAATTAGATTATAATCTTTCCCCTAATTCAACTGCCTCTTTTACTACTCAGTATGCCGTGGCTAAGGAGATTACCACACAGCTAAGCCTGGGACCAAAACCCAAACCTCTGAAGTTGAGTTCCTCATTTTGTCTGCTACAACTTTTGCTTTATGTAACTTTATGAACCTCAGATCACCTTTGGTTCAAAGTAGAAAAATATCAAAAAATTTTTTTCTTGATGTTAAAATAGCCACACACTTAATTCCTCAGTGAGATCTCTTAGTGTTTCTAAAGAGATTAAATTGTGTGAAACTTTCTGATTAAAATTTTTACTTTTTAATTCTGTGTTTTCATTGATAAAATACTAAGGAGTCTAGATTGTGCTAAGAGTTTCCACATTACTTCAAAAGTAACCATTTGCAATAGGACAGCATGGGGTTTTGTTTCTGTTCTTCTCATTTCAAGCAAAAAGTTATCTTGCTTGATTCTTTTTAGTTAAATCTTTGAGAGGACAAAATACAAACCTTATCATTTGAACAAACCTTAAAGCTCTCTCATGTGCCTGTTGATTTTCCTAAAAAATGATTTTCAATGATGCAATCTGAACTGAGATAAATTAACATTGTGCTAGTCACTTGTAGTCAGAAGAGTTTAGTTTATTTTCAAGGAATCTAAGTATTTAACACCAATAAACAGACAGTAAAAAATGCAGTATTGTGAAATTTCCTAATTTATGGGGACAGATTTTTAATGTCACACTCAGAAAAATACTACTTGTGGGTAACATCATTGAACCAACCTTTGGCAGAAACTTCAAAAAGCAACTGTCAAATGTCAAATCATAGACTAAATCATAATTTTATTCTGGTAAGTTTTACTTATCGATACTGTGATCCAGCTGCCAAAATCAAAAGTATAATTTACTTGTCTCATTGGCTATGTTATACTTTTTTTCTGGAAGTGTCGGATAGTCTAAGAAAAAACAGAAAATGTCAGCTGTATTCAGTTTGGTCATGGAGCAAATGAACAAGCATGAAGTCAGCCTCTTTATTTTTAGTCTACCCAGGCCAAGTTAAAGGAAGCCATTACTTAGATCATTCAGCCTTCAAAACCTGCTATGCAACAAAATTATTCAACGTATTTTAATAAAGTTTATTTTAAAGCATAAATAAGGTTCATTTGTAACTACCAATGTAATAATTGATTTAGGCAAAGGTTGTCAATGGATACAAAACCCACCGGATGAAAAGTAGTTGGGGAACAGGAGATTCACTCAACTTCAATGAAGCATCCAACAGAGTGCTTATTTTGTTTTGTTTTGCTTTGCTTTGTTTTGTTTGAGACAGAGTCTCACTGTGTCCACCCATGCTGGAGTGCAGTAGCAAGATCTTGGCTCACTGCAACCTCCACCTCCCAGGTTCAAGCGATTTTCCTGCCTCAGCCTCTGGAGTAGCTGGGATTACAGATGCATGCCACCACACCTAGCTAATTTTTGTATTTTTTTAGTAGAGATGGGATTTCATTATGTTGGCCAGGCTGGTCTCGAACTCCTGACCTCAAGTGATCCGCCCGCCTCAGCCTCCCAAATTGCTGGCATTACAGGCATGAGCCACCGTGCCTGGCCCAGGTTACTTATTAATTACAAAAGGAAATGAAACTTTTATAATGGAAAGATGCAGTAGACACACACATGTGCACACAAGGATGCACCTACATTTATATGTATATATGTATACACACTTAACTTTTAAAATTTTACACACTTGCCTGCAACTTGCCTTTTTCATCCAGCAATACTGGTAGAATTTCCAAATCAACTGATAAGCCCCTAATTCTCCATCTCTTTTTTAATGACTGGACAGTCTATGGTTATGGATATAGTGAGACTTATTCATCCAGCTCCTTCACTGAGGTGCGTTTACTTTTCCCCCAGTTTGCTGCCTTTACATACCATACTATAAAATAAGCATCTCATACATACATCATATGTTCTGATCCTTAATTACAATAAAATTAACACCTAAGAGTAGGTCAAAAGTATAAGTATATTAGATTATATTATAAAATATATATAATTAATATATCTTATATTAATACACATTACAAGATTGCTTTTCAAATGGGCTGATAACAGTTCATAGTGTTCTACAAAAAAAAATAATATATGAAATTATTCTTCTTCCCCGGTGTTATTCCCATGGACAGTAGGTATTATTGCTCTATCATTTTCCTGCTTTGATGGAGTAGAAAGTGATACCTCATCAGGGAGAGAATTTGCATTCTCTCATGATGATTCAGCTTATGCACTTTAAAAATATACTTATTCATCATTTGTCTTTGCTCATCATATGTTTTCGCTATTTTTCTATCAGATTATTTGCCATTCCTTGTTAATGTCTAAGATTACCTTATGTTACCAGGAATATTCATGTTTTGTCATCTTATCAAAACTATGTTCAAGTATGTGACTTTCTCAATTGATCTTATTTATGGTTTCTTTGCCCATATATTTTTAATGTTATGTATAAATATGTATCTATGCATAGATAAGGAAATATACCTTTGGGACTTCCCATCTTAGTGAAGAATGGCTCCTATACCAATAGAAGGAGAAAAATCATTTTAATTTTCTTTTTTATAAGTGTTTTACATTCCCTGTCAAATTTATTTCTACATTTTTTGTTTTTATTCTTAATAATAATTTTATTGAGGTATAACGTACATGATATAAAATATCCCAATGTAGACATGCAATTCAGTATTTTAGTAAATTTCTGTAATTGTACATCCATCACCACAATCCATCATTTTTTTTTTTTTATTTGAGACAGAGTTTCATGCTTGTTGCTCAGGCTGGAATGAAATGGCATTATCTTGGCTCACTGCAACCTCTGCCTCCCAGGTTCAAGTGATTCTCCTGCCTCAGCCTCCCAAGTAGCTGGGATTACAGGCGCCCACCACCATGCCTGGCTAATTTTTGTATTTTCAGTAGAAATGCAATTTCACCACGTTGGCCAGGCTAGTATCGAACTCCTGACCTCAGGTAATCCACCCAGTTCGGCCTCCCAAAGTGCTGGGATTACAGGTGTGAGCCACTGAACCCAGCCACAATTCATCTTTAGAGCATTTCTATCACTCCAAAACTTTCCCTCATACCCATTTAGTCAATTCCTTCTCCCATCTCAGCCCCTGGAAATTGCTAGTCTGCTTTCTGCCTACAGAGTTAACCTTTTCTGAATATTTCATATAAATATAATCTAATATGTGGTCTTTTGTGACTAGCTTCATTTCCTTAGCTTATTATTATTATTATTATTATTATTATTATTATTATTATTACTATTATTATTTTGAAGTTGTGTTAGCTTCCCGAGGCTGCCACAACTGGGTGGTTTAAAGCAACAAAAATTTGGCCAGGCCCAGTCGCTCATGCCTGTAATCCCAGCACTTTGGGAGGCCGAGGCAGGTGGATCACCAAGTCAAGAGACCGAGACCATCCTGGCCAACATGGTGAAACCCCGTCTCTGCTAAAAATGCAAAAATTAGCTGGGCTTGGTGGCGAGCGCCTGTCAGCTCAGCTACTCGGGAGGCAGAGGCAGAAGAATCACTTGAACCCGGGAGGTGGAGGTTGCAGTGAGCCGAGATCAAGCCACTGCACTCCAGCCTGGCGACAGAGTGAGACTCCATCTCAAAAAAATTAAAATAAAAATAATAAATAAATAAAATTTATTGTTTTATGGTTCTGAAGGCCAGAGTCTAATATCCAGGTATTGGTAAGGCTGAACTCCCTCTGGAGGGTCTGTGGGAGGATGCTTCCTTGCCTCTTCCAGCTCCTCCTGGCTGTATGCAATCCTTGACTTTTTTGGCTTGTGGCCACATCACCCCAATCCATGCCTCCATCTTCTCATTGTCTTCTACTGTGTGTATATGTTAGTTCATTCTCATACTGCTATGAAGAAATACCTGAGACTGGGTAATTTATAAAGAAAAAGAAGTTTAACGAACTCACAGTTCCACATGGCTGGGGAGGCCTCACAATCATGGCAGAAAGTGAAGGAGCAAAGGAATGTCTTACATGGCAGCAGGCAAGAGAGTGTGTGCAGGGGAACTGCCCTTTATAAAACCATCAGATCTGGAGACTTACTCAGTATCATGAGAACAGCATGGGAAAATCCCGCCTCTATGATTCAATTACTTCTGACCAAGTCCCTCCCATGACACGCAGGGATTATGAGAGTTACAATTCAAGATGAGATTTGGGTGGGGACACAGCCAAGCCATATCAGTGTGTCTATGTCTTTTTGTCCTTTGTCTCCCAAATCTTCTGCCTTTTTCTTACTTATCCAATAAGTAAGTCTACATATTGGATTTAGGGCCAGTCTGATAATCCAGGTGATCTCTTCATATCAAGTTTCTTACCTGAATGGCATCTACAAAGACCCTTTCTCTCTTTTTTTTTTTTTTTTTTTTTGAGACCTATCTTGGTGTAATCTCGGCTCACTGCAACCTCCGCCTCCCGGATTCAAGCGATTCTCCTGCCTCAGCCTCCCAAGCAGCTGGGATTACAAGCACACACCACCGCACCCAGCTACTTTTTTATATTTTTGGTAGAGACAGGGTTTCACCATATTGACCAGGCTAGTCTCGAACTCCTGACCTCGTGATCCACCTACCTTGGCATCCCATAGTGCTGGGATTGTAGGCATAAGTCATCGTGCCCAGCCAATGACATATTCTTAAAGGAAAAATACGTAAGTGATATCTAGAAATCCTCCATGGAATACAAAAAATAGGTATTCTATGTTTGAGGAACTTAAAGTTCTCTCTAAATCTATATACAGTTGACTCTCATTATTCGAGGTGAGCATGTCCTATAAAGTTACTGTGATGTTAAGTTATTGAATGCTGAACCGTAGGGGAAATACAGGGTTAGGTTCCTGTGTGCCTCTGGTCACAACATTCTCATCAACCTTGTTTAATATATATCGGTGATTCATTAACATCAAAGCTATGGCCAGCAGCACTATAACTCATGTCTGAACAAAGTTTATCTAACGTAAGTATTTGCTCTGCAAGGCACATCACAGCCCTCTTAAGCTCAGGAACACTAGACAGCAATTCAGCATTACCCTTCAAGGCCATTTTACATAGTGAAATTCTCAGCAAAAAGCACAAAAAGGCAGACAATGTGGCACTAAATAGACTGCTAAAAAGACACTTCTTTACAGTATAAGAGCTGGAATAAGAAGGCAGAGTTTCACCTTGTTTAACTTCAGTTGAGAACATGTGCACCAGGCAACTCAAATTTTTTTGTCACTCTGCACATGTCTGTGACTGTCAGCAGTGTCAGGCGTATTGATGTGCTAGTTACAAATAAATTTTAGCAAGTAGGCAAATTTTCAAATAATGAGAACCAACTGTATCCATATAAAATCAAGCTTCAAGCTTCATGATTGTATTATTAAATTTCTCAATGTCTCTCTCTCTCTCTGTCGGAATTAGCCAATTCTGGTATTCAAATCATTTACTGTAATTTTTTTAAGTTATATTTCCAATAATTTTTAATTATATTTAGCTGCTATGTTTTTTATGCATATAAGGTTATAACTTTTATTTTCTTCATAAATTATGCTTTTATTATTATGCAGTATCCCTCTTTTTTCAGTTTACAGATTTTATTTTATTTATTTATTTATTTTTGAGACAAAGTCTTGCTCTTGTCCCCCAGGCTGAAGTGCGATGGCGCAATCTCGGCTCACTGCAACCTCCACCTCCTGGGTTAAAGCGATTCTCCTGCCTCAGCCTCCCGAGTAGCTGGGATTATAGGCGCCTGCCACCACGCCCGGCTAATTTTTGTGTTTTTAGTACAGACAGGATTTCACCATGTTGGCCAGGCTGGTCTCGAGCTCCTGACCTCAGGTGATTTGCCTGCCTCAGCCTCCCTAAGTGCTGGGATTACAGGCGTGAGCCACCATGCCCAGCCTTTATTTTATTTTTTATTTTTTGAGTCAAGGTCTTGCTCTGTCACCGAGGCTGGAGTGCAGTGGTGTGATCGCCACTCACTGCAGCCTTGACCTCCAGGCTCAAGCAGTCCTCCCACCTCAGCCTCCCAAGTAGCTGGGACTACAGGTGTGTGCCACAACACCCAGCTAATTTTTAATGTTTTTGTATAGGCAAAGGCTCACTATATTCCCCAGTCTTAAACTCCTGAGGTCAAGGGATCCTCCTGCCTTGGCCTCCCACAGTGT
Organism: Homo sapiens; assembly: GCF_000001405.40. Taxonomy (NCBI): domain Eukaryota; kingdom Metazoa; phylum Chordata; class Mammalia; order Primates; family Hominidae; genus Homo; species Homo sapiens. The sequence goes on from NC_000003.12 coordinate 171,992,553, forward strand.
TGGGATCACACGTGTGAGCCACTGCACCCAGCCTCGGTTTAGATATTTTAATTTTAAATTCCATTAAATTTAAGTTTTATGACATTAATAGCACCAAACTTGCTTTGAGATTTTACTGTTTACATTTTTACATTTTATTGTTACCTGCCCTTTCCCAGCTCTCACATATAATCAAACATGTATTTTATTATATGAAAATAAGACACCAACTTTTCCCCTACTGGGAAATTGTATTACTCCACTGCTCTCCCCACCCATAACTTACAGCTTAAAGAAGACTTTTTATTGCAATTCTCTCCTCTCTCACCTCCAAACAGGTGAAGGCTTTGGAATATTTTTGCTTCCTTTTTTCTCATATCCCTCCTTACTACAATTCTTCAATTCTACTGAGGTGGTTTAATTCTTTAAATCCAAAGTTTTTATTAGAACTTTCCTTTTATATGCTCCTCTATTTCTAGAGTCTTTGTTTAGTACTTATGTTACACACTCCCAGCATATCATTGTCCATTTTTTTTAATTAGTTATCAAAAATTCATTGCTCATTACGGCTTTCGCTCTTCTTCTTTTTATTAGTTGTTGCTTTTATGAAGTTTTTTTTCTAATATTTTTCCCAGTTGAGTAAGGTTCATGACTTCTCTGAATCCTTACAAACCTTCAAATATCATTCTTTCACCCTTACAGGTGAAATATATCTTGGAGTCGAAAACGTACTCCACTGACTTCTAGCTTCCAATGTTGCAAAGGAGAAATTTCAGTACCAGTCTAATTTCTTTTCTTTTATAAATAACTTACAAGCTTATACTCAGAAAGAATGAGATTGTTTGTCTTTATCTTTGGAGTACAAAAATTTTATTAGGATATATATAGCCATAGTGCATGTATATATATAATCCTTTCTCAACATTTCTGCCTGAAACTTGGCATCTTTTCTTCAGTCCAGGTAAATCTTCATTTCGTTTGTTTTCATGCTTCATTTTCTTCTTCGTGCACATCATTTTTTCCTTCTGGAACGCCTATTGTTTGCATGTCGGTTCTCTTAAACCCCTCCTGCATCTCTCTACTCATGCTTTACTTTCTTTCTCTCTAAGCTTTGAAATATTTCTTGCATCCAGTTTCCAGGCTACTAGTTGGATTTCAAGCGTAACCATTTTCTTCACTATTGAACTTTACATTCAAAAGCTGTAAAATTTGAAATTGGAGCCTAAAATGCACCTATAATTCACATAACGACATTTTTAGAGGAAAATCTATGGAAATAATTGTTGCTATGTGTAAAAGTCTTGTTTTTAATATATAAATTAACATTTTAAATTTGCTTTTGGGAAAAAAAATGAAGAACAGCTAGATTGTGGTCCCATTTACAACTCTGTCCAGCATGGAGAAACCCCGTCTCTGCTGAAAATACAAAAACTAGCCAGGAGTGGTGGCGCATGCCTGTGGTCCCAGCTACTCGGGAAGCTGGGACAGGAGAATCGCTTGAACCCAGGAGGCGGAGGTTGCAGTGAGCCAAGATGGCACCATCGCACTCCAGCCAGGGCAACAAGAGCGAAATTTCATCTCAAAAAAAAAAAAAAAAACAGAATTTAAAAGTTCAAGAAATGCTGCTGGTCTGAAATATGCATTAAAAGCCACACCTTAGATATCGAACTCAGAATCTTGTTAAAAATCAACAAGAGATTGACAAACACTCAAGGTACAAATTACAACACTATAATAATTATTGAATATTGCCAAGTTGGAGAAGGAGAGAGAAGCAGAGAGAATAAGGAAATGTACACAATTTACATGAAGTGTTGAAAATCTTTGAAGTCCAGGTAATACCAGTTGATCTTATTAAAGCCACACCCTTTGAAATCACAACAGAAGCAGATGAATTTTCCAGAGCATAATTTTTAAGGAGAAAACCCTCTCTACATTTTTTTTATTATACTTTAAGTTTTAGGGTACATGTGCACAATTTTTAATGTTTCTGAGAACTACCACACACACATACTAAGCTATATACATGCTGTGACTATTTTTATTTTTAAGAGGGGGTGGCAGTCAAGACAATGTGGTTTCTTTTACAGGTAACACTACAATTCAATTTTAATGTCTTTTTCCCTCTCATGTCACCTTTATTTTTTGGTTCTTTTGAATAACAAGGAAAAAGATAAATCGAGAGTCATAAAGAGTTCTTTGGGGTAAACTGAGGGGATATAACCACCTAATTATGAATTTCCTGAATGTGCAACTTGACCAGCAGCAACTGGACGTGATTAGTATGGTGGGCCTCACCTCCAGCTGTTCTACAAAAACAAGTCAGTGAAGGATTTCCAAGGCACATTTTCCTCTGGACTTGTTTTAAGTTTAACAATGCAAACAGTGCGTGTTGCTCTTTTTTTTTTTTTTAATAGGTGACAGATTGTCAGAAAAGAAACAAGAGTTTTCTACAACAAAAAACTGGCTTATGGAACATATACTTCTGCTTGAGTTGAATGTGTTGGGCTGAGTGTAAGAAAATGCAAGCTGCAAATCTGTCTTACATGTGGAACCAAAGCTGGAAATGTGTGCTTTAGAGGCAACTGTAAAATTGTATTTCCTTCTGGCATATGGGCCAATGATTATGTTGTGTGAGTAATGCATAGATGTAATCCATGTGGTAAGCTTTGTGGATGAAGAAAATGTCAGTGTTATTGGCTGAGGCTTGGCAAGCATTAGCCATGTGTTTAGAAAAATTTACATGGCCTGAAACAATGCAAAAAATGTACTGTCCTGTTTGTCAGCTTGTGAACATAGCAAAAAACCACAGCACTCCCATCAGCACAAACACTGAGGGAGAAAATCTCTCTTGCTGTTTTCCAGTTTATGTTTATAGGAAAAGGATGTTTGCCTTACAACAAGGGGATTTATGCTTAATGGATACTAACTTTTACCAAATCACAAAATCTAAATAGGCATTTGTAGAATGAGAGATCCAAAAACTCTGGCAATATGATATACTAAGGGGAAAATCAGAAATCTTTATAGATTTTACTATTACTGTGTTCAGATCAATTTTTAATTGCTTTTAGCTATGGCTTCTTGAGCTTCAAAATAATTGTGGAATGTCTTCACTAAGTACACAGTAGCATAAATTCTACAGGATGTTGTACAGCTCTGTAGAGGGAAAAACCACCATGAAGATAAATGACCTTGGAGGACCCCATTAATCTTTGTAAATAGCAAGATGTTATTTAGCCATCTATTTTTTTCTTAAACCCAAAAGCATTTAAAAAACAGAATATTTAAGTTATAAAAGGCCTTAAAAGTGACCCAGAGCTGGCAGAGGAAGGGAGCCTTAACAATTGGTGGGGGAAACTGGGAGTGAGGGTGGATAGTACTCAAAAGGATGCTGTCTTTGACTTTAATTTCAAGGTATTACACAAATTGCCCTCAGATGTTTCAATCTCTTCTTTCACAGGGCTTCCTCTAATGTTTTTTCATCAGTCTTATCTGCCATATCAATATAATGGCTTTTAAATTTTTGCAAAGGGAACTTCTGCATCTACCTGTGAAGGATAAACTGATACAAGAATCACTTGCCTACCATAAACAACTAGAAAATAAGGCAAAATATATGAAAGGACAATTTTCAGATATTAGATATAAGGCGATGCAGAACTGAATTCCTGAATCTCTATCATTATCCTAGAGTACTGCCTTGAGGAAAATTCCAAGAAATAGCCAAAAGAAAATGAAGTCAGAGTCTTGTTCAGTTGAGGAAACAAAGATCAGTATGAGTAGGCCAAAGTAGCTATAACTTAAGGGCAGAGTTCAATAGAGAGAGAGCTAAGCAGCAGAAGGGGTCTAGAAATCTGCATGAGAGTCCCCTTGAATTTTTTGTGACTATCAATTTCTGTATGTGTAATGTGAAACTCTTTGTTGGGCAAGAAAATCTTCTGAGAAAAGACTAATTACTGAGAAACTGTAAAATGAACAATTCCCAGAAATCACACAGGATCAAAAACCTTTGTGGATGGAGTTTCCTTCATTCAAAGTGAAAAAATCTTGTTGAATACTTAGCCATTCAGTAGAGACTTGAAAAGTGTTATGCCTTAGAAGTGGGACTAAATTAGCTCTAGAATTTACCATTCTAAAACCTCCCTAAAAGAGTTTAGAAACAGGCCTCACAAGAGATCAAAAGTAACCTTCAAAAGCTAACTGCTCACGAAAAAGTCTTAACACTCATTAAAAGAGTACAACAAAATCCAGCACTAAACAATGTAAAACACACAATCTTAATCCAATTTTTAAAAATCATCAGACATGCAGAAAGTAGGAAAATGTGACCCATAACCGAGCAAAAATTTAGTAAATGGAACCCAAAAATGACAGAGATAATGGAATTAGCAGACATGTATTATAGCTATTATAAGTATGTGCTCACAAAGATATAGGAGAACATAAATATAAGGAAGGAAGAAAAGAAAAATATTTTAAAAGTCTCAGCACTTCTGAAGATGAAAAATATAATATTTTAAGTAAAAATTTCACCTAATAGGATTAACAACAGATTAGATACTGCAGAAGAAAAAATTAGTGAGCTTGGTGACTGCAACAGAAATAATACAACATGAAGCAGAGAGAGAGAAAAAAACTTAAAAAAAAAAAAATCCTTAGTGCCTTGTGGGACAATAACAACCGGTCTAACGTATGTATAATTTTGCCAGCCAAAACTTTTCCAAAGTTGATGAAAACTATAAATCCACAGGTACGAGAAGGTCAATGAACCAAAAGCAGAATAAATATTTTAAAGATGTACCAAAGAACAACATAATCCAATTACAGAAAACCAGTGATTTAAAAAGTTAAAGCAGACTGAGGAAAAAGGATACATGAGTAAGAAAGATAACAAATAAAAAAATGTAAGCAGATTTCTAGTCTTTGCAAGCCATTATGACATCTTCCAATGATGAAGGAATTAAAGTCAACTAAGAATTCTATATAGAGCATAAATACCATTTGAAAATCAAGATAATATATGAACTTTTTTAGCAAAACAAAGGCTGAGCTAATTGGTTGCCAGCAGACCTGAACTATAAGAAAGATGAAAAGAAGTTCTTTGGGCAAAGGGAAGATGACAGAAATTTGAATCTACACAAAGAAATGAAAAGTGCTGGAAACAGTAAATGTGTAGATAATATAACGGATTTTCTCCTCAATTTTTATTTTATTTAAAAGATAATTGAGTATGTAAAGCAAAAATGATAATGTGTGTATATCAATTTGTTTATAATATCTGTAGGAGTAAATATGTGTCATCAATAGCACAAAAGAAGGAAGGGAAAAATGGAAGATTATAAGGTTTTTACTCTATTTGTGAAGTGTTACACTACTATTTCAAGATACTATAAGCTAAAGATGCATATTGTAAATCCTAGAGAAATGCCATTAAAAAAAAGAGATACAGGTAATAGGCCAATAGTAGTGGTAAAACGACACTCTAAAAAAAGTAGTGAATCCAAAATAATCCTGAAGAGGTGAAAAAAAGGAAGAGAGAACAAATGAAACAAATAGAAAACCAACAACAAAATGGTAGATTTAAACCGACTGTATTGATAATTACATTAAAAGTAAATAGTCCAAATGTGTCCGGAATTGGTGGGTTCTTGGTCTCACTGACTTCAAGAATGAAGCCTCGGACCCTCGTGGTGAGTGTTACAGCTCATAAAAGCAGCGTGGACCCAAAGAGTGAGCAGTAGCAAGATTTATTGCAAAGAGTGAAAGAACAAAACTTCCACAGTGTGGAAGGGGACCCCAGCAGGTTGCCAATGCTGGCTCCGGCAGCCTGCTTTTATTCTCTTATCTGGCCCCACCCACATCCTGCTGATTGGTAGAGCCGAGTGGCCTGTTTTGTCAGGGCGCTGATTGGTGTGTTTACAATCCCTGAGCTAGATACAAAAGTTCTCTGCGTCCCCATCAGATTAGTTAGATACAGAGTTTCGACACACAGTTTCTCCAAGGCCCCACCAGAGCAGCTAGATACAGAGTGTCGATTGGTGCACTCACAAACCTTGAGCTAAACACAGGGTGCTGATTGGTGTGTTTACAATCCCTGAGCTAGACATAAAGGTTCTCCAAGGCCCCACCAGAGCAGCTAGATACAGAGTGTGGATTGGTGCACTCACAAACCTTGAGCTAAACATAGGGTGCTGATTGGTGTATTTACAATCCCTGAGCTAGATATAAAGACTCTCCACGTCCCCACCAGACTCAGGAGCCCAGCTGGCTTCACCTAGCGGATCCCACACTGGGGCTGCAGGTGGAGCTGCCTGCCAGTCCTGCACCGTGCGCTCGCATTCCTCAGCCCTTGGGTGGTCGATGGGACTGGGCGCCGTGGAGCAAGGGGTGGTGCTCGTCGGGGAGGCTCGGGCCGCACAGGAGCCCATGGAGTGGGGGGGAGGCTCAGGCATGGCGGGCTGCAGGTCCCGAGCCCTGCCCCGCGGGAAGGCAGCTAAGGCCCGGCGAGAAATCGAGCACAGCGCCGGTGGGCCGGCACTGCTGGGGGACCCAGTACACCCTCCGCAGCCACTGGCCCGGGTGCTAAGTCCCTCATTGCCCGGGGCCAGCAGGGCTGGCTGGCTGCTCCGAGTGCGGGGCCCACCAAGCCCACGCCCACCCGGAACTCCAGCTGGCCCGCAAGCGCCGAACGCAGCCCCGGTTCCTGCTCACGCCTCTGCCTCTACACCTCCCTGCAAGCTGAGGGAGTGGGCTCCAGCCTTGGCCAGCCCAGAAAGGGGCTCCCACAGTGCAGTGGGGGGCTGAAGGGCTCCTCAAATGCCACCAAAGTGGGAGCCCAGGCAGGGAAGGTGCCGAGAGCAACCGAGGGCTCTAAGGACTGCCAGCATGCTGTCACCTCCCACAAACACTCCAAATAAAAAGCAGAAATTGTCAAAGAGGCTAAAAAAGCAAATCCCAGTTAGGGTTCCTTAGTTCCCCCCACTATTTTCTCTGTCCTGGACGAGAATAGAGTGCCCTGACAGCTCTGAGAGTCAACCAGCAGCATGTGGTCCCCTGTAGGCTCAAACCCAAGCAAGGGCCTTGATCGTTCCCTGTTGAAACTGTTTAGTTGATGTTCAACAACACTGAGAGACTAATGTTAAACACAAAGAAAACTAGCCCTCACCTTGAGCCAGGTTCCTTAAACTCTCATATAACTCCATAACCCACCCTCTTCATGGCAAACATGTCCTACCTAGGCAGGACATCCTTTGTCTCACTGTCTGTCATAAGAATATACTGTAGCTGGCTGGGCGCTGTGGCTCACACCTGTAATCCCAGCACTTTGGGAGGCCGAGGAGGATAGATCACCTGAGGTTGGGAGTTCAAGACCAGCCTGACCAAGATGGAGAAACTCTGTCTCTACTAAAAATACAAAATTAGCTGGGCGTGATGGCGCATGCCTGTAATCCCAGCTACATGGGAGGCTGAGGCATGAGAATCGCTTGAACCAAGGAGGCTGAGGTTGCAGTGACCCAAGATCGTGCCACTACACTCCAGCCTGGGCAACAAGAGCGAAACTCAGTCTCAAAACAAAACAAAACAAAACAAAATATATGCTATAGCTTCCTTCCGAGGTAAGTTCCCCTAATAAATGCTTTAGACTGATTACTCTCTGGCATTTAATGCTTCTTTCTTTGAAATTTTAACTGGCCAGTTTGGGACACTCACTTGTGGGAACTTTCCTGCTGCCACTTTTGGGTTACTCTACTGTAGGTTTGGCTGACCGAAACAATCCAATTGATTTTTTTATAAATGTTTTATATATATATAGTATGTATACAATATTATATATATTTATATATTATATATACCATGGAATATTATTTAACTATAAAGAGGAATGACATTCTGGTACTTACTATGACCTGGATGAACAGCTTTTTTTTTTTTATTTTGAGACAGCATCTCACTCTGTCACCCAGACTGGAGTGCAGTGGTGTGATCTCGGCTCACTGCAACCTCCACCTCCCGGGTTCAAATGATTCTCCTGTCTCAGCCTCCCGAGTAGCTGGGATTACAGGTGCCTGCCACCATGCCCAGCTAATTTTTGTATTTTTAGTAGAGGTAGGGTTTCACCATGTTGGCCAGGCTGGTCTCGAACTCCTAAACTCAGATGATCTGCCTTCCTCGGCCTTCCAAAGTGCTGGGATTACAGGCGTGAGCCTCCGCACCCAGCGGATGAACCTTGAATACATTATGTTAAGTGAGATAAGCCAGACACAAAAGGACAAATATTCCCTGTATATGAGATACCTAGAATAGGCAAAATCATAGAGACAGAAGGTAGAATAGAGGTTACTGGGGCTGAGGGTTGGAGAGAGTGAGGAGGAGTTATTGCTTAATAGGTACAGAGTTTCAGTTCAGGATGGTGAAAAAGTTCTGGAAATGAATAGTGGTGATGATTGCACAACAATGTGAATGAAGTTATTTTTACTAAATTGTACACTTAAAATGGTGAAAATGGCAAATTTTATATTATATATATTTTACCACAATAAAAAAATTTAAAAAGCAAGACTCAAAAATATGCCACCTACAATAAACCCATTTTAAATATAAAGACATAGATAATTTTGAACAGAATTTTTTTAAAAACCATATAGTATACTAACTAATAAAAAATAGTTGAAATGGCTCTATATATTAGACAAATTAGAATTCAAAACAGTGAATATTAACAGACACTAAAAAGTACATTTTATAATTATTACAGGGTTAATTCTTGAAGAAAACGTAACAACCCGAAATATTCATGCACTTAAAAATAGAGATTCAAAACACATGAAGTAAAAATTAATTAGATGGAAAGGAAAAAAAGACACATCTACAATTACAGTGCTCAAAACTCCTCTTTCAGTATTGGACAGAATAAGCAGACAGCACTGCAACACTCACAACTTGAACAACACTAACATCACGTTTAACACTCCACTAACAACAATAAAATACACATTCTTTTTAAATGCTGATAGAACATTCACAAAGATAGATAATGTTCTGTCTTAAAAGAAGTCTCAGTAAGTTTAAAGGCATTGAAAACATACACTATATATTCTAAACCCAAACAAAATTAAATTAGAAGTCAATAAGAAAAATATTTCTGGAAACTCACCCAGTATTTAGAAATTAAACAATAAACAATACATTTCCAAATAACTCACAGAAAAAAACACAGAGGTAATTAGAGTGGAACCAATCCAACTGCCCATCAATCAATGAGTGGATAAAGAAACTGTGGTATACATATATATGATGGAATACTACTCAGCCATAAAAAAGGAATGAATTAACAGCATTTGCAGCAACCTGGATGAGACTGGAGACTATTATTCTAAGTGAAGTAACTCAGGAATGGAAAACAAACATTTTATGTTCTCACTGATACGTGGAAGCTAAGCTATGAGGATGCAAAAGCATAAGAATGATACAGTGGACTTTGGGGACTTGGGGGGAAGGTTGGGAGGGGGGCGAGGGATAAAAGACTACAAATGGGGTGCATTGAATGCTGCTTGGGTGATGGGTGCACCAAAATCTCACAGATCACCACTAAAGAACTTACTCATGTAACGAAATACCACCTTTACCCCAATAACCTATGGGAAAAAATATAATAAATAAATACAAACAAAGAAAATCACAATATATTTTAAACTGAATAAAAATGAAAACACAACATACCAAAATTTGTAGAGGACACCTAAAGGAGGATGCTGAGGGAAATTTGTAACTTTTTTTTTTTAAGACAGGGTCTCACTCTGTCACCCAGGCTGGAGTGCAATGGCACTGACACAGATCACTGCAGCCTCAGCCTCCCAGACTCAGGTGATCCTCCTACCTCAGCCTCCCAAGTAGCTGGGACTACAGGTGTGTGCCACCACTCCTAGCTAATTTTTCTAATTTTTTTTTCTTGTAGAGACAGGGTTTTGTCATGTTGCCCAGGCTGGTTTTGAACTCCTAAACTCAAGGAATCCTCCTTCCTCAGCCTCTCAAATCGCTGGTATTAGAGACATGAGCCACTGAGCCTGGCCAATGTGTAACGTTAAATGCTCAAATAATCTAAGAGTGTACTTTAAGAAACTACACAGAGAAGTAATAAAACCCAAAGTAAACAGAAAGAAAGCAGTGATAAAGCTAATAGCAGAAACAAATGAAAGAGGAAATCAGCGACATCAAAAACTGTTTTTGTTTTTCTTTTTACAAATGAGCATCTGTAAAACCCTATGGCTAACATTAAAATGATGGAAGATTATATGCTTTTCCCTTAAGACTGAGTAAAAAGCAAGGATGGCTTCTCCTTTCATTTCTATTCAACATCATTCTGGAGGTCCTAGTGAGTCATTTAAGTCCAAAAAAAAAAAAAAAAAGAAAAAGAAATAAAAGGCAAACATTGCAAAGGAAAAATTAAAGCTGTGTTTATTTACAGAGAACACAATCGTATAGCTGGAAATGTTAAGAAATCTTCAAAAACAACATTAATTCTAATAAGTGAGGTTAGCAAGTTTACTGGAAACAATGTCAATACACAAAAAATCAACTATAATACTATTAACAATTAGAAATTGAAGTTTTAAAATACCACTGATTACAGCATAAGAAACATAATATATTTGAAGATAATTTGAACAAAAGTGTACTAGACATGTACGTTGAAAACTACAAAAGACTATTAGGCCAGGTGCACTGACTCATGCCTGTAATCCCAGAACTTTGGGAGGCCAAGGCAGATGGATCAGTTGAGGTCGGTTCAAGGCCAGCCTGGCCAACACAGTGAAACCTCATCCCTACTGAAAATATAAAAATTGGCTGGGCATGGTGGTGCATGCCTGTAATCCCAGCTACTCAGAAGGATGAGATTCAAGGAGAATCGCTTGTACCTGGGAGGCAGAGGTTGCAGTGAGCTGAGATCACGTCGCTGCACTCTAGCCTGGGCCGCAGAGCAAGACTCCATCTCAAAAAAAAGAAAAAAGAAAACTGCAAAAAACTATTAAAAAATTAAAGAGGGCCAGGCTCGGTGGCTCATATCTGTAATCCCAGCACTTTGGGAGGCCGAGGCGGGTGGATCACCTGAGGTCAGTAGTTCGAGACCAGCCTGGCCAATATGGTAAAACCCCGTCTCTACTAAAAATACAAAAATTAGTTGAGCGTGGTGGCATGCGCCTGTAGTCCCAGCTACTCAGGAGGCTGAGGCAGAAGAATTGCTTGAACCCCAAAGGCAGAGGTTGCAGTGAGCTGAGATCGTGCCACTGCACTCCAGCCTAGGGGATAGAGTGAGGCTCTATCTCAAAAAAATAATAATAATAATAATTAAAGAAAACCTTTATAATCAGAGAGACATACAGTGTTAAATTGTTTATCAATATTATGATGACAATTTTCCCCAAATTAACCTATAGATTCAATGTAATGCCAATCAAAACCCCAAAAGACTTTTTGTTTTGAAGATGACAAGCTGATTATAAAATTTGTATGGAAATGCAAAAGATCTAAAACAGAAAAACTATATTGAGAAAGAAAAACAAATTTGGGAGACACATTATCCATTTTCAACATTTACTATAAAGCTACATTAATCAAGATGATGTGCCAGTATAAAGATAGACATAGAAATCAATGGAACAAAATAATGAGTCCAAAGGTAGGCTCACAAATAAACTATCATTTGATCCAAGATAATGCAATAATAAAATAATTGTACTTTTGACAAATGATGATGGAACAATTAGATTTCCATTTGCAAAAATATGAATCTTGACCCTTACTTTATACCATATTTAAAATTTAGCTCCAAATAGATCTAGGTCTAAGTATAGGAGCTAAAGTAATGAGACTTGTACAAGAAAATCTTTGTTACCTTTAATTAGGCAAAGACAGTGTTTAGATAGAATGCAAAAAGCATGAACCATAAAAGAAAATGTTTGATAAATTGTTTTGTCAAAATTAAAATCTTTTTATCTTAAAATGATATCATTATCATTAAGAAAATAAAATTCAAACCATGGATTTTAGAGAAAATAGTTGAAAAACATCACCCTGGTAAAGAACTTCTATGCAGAAAATAGAATCGTCACAACTTATTAAGAAGACAAACCACTCATGAAAAGGCATAACATTTCAACTGACACTTCACCAAATAAGCTATATGAATAACAAATAAGTTTAAGAAAAAATGTTGACTATCCAAAATCATTAGTCATTAGGCAAGTGCAAGTTAAAACCATGATATACCACTATATACCTATGAGAAGGGCTATAATTTAAAAAGACAATACTAAATGTTAGCAAAGGTTTGGAGCAACTGGAAATCTCATACATTGCCGGTGAAAATGTAAACTAGCACACCCATTTTGGAAAAAAGTTTTGCCGTTTCTTAAAAAGTTAAATATGCAGCTGGGTGCAGTGGCTCACACCTGTAATCCCAGGACTTTGGGAGGCTGAAGTGGGCGGATCACTTGGGGTCAGGAGTTCAAGACCAGCCTGGCCAACATAGTGAAACCCCGTCTCTACTAAAAATACAAAAAAGTGAGCCAGGCGTGGTGGCGGGCACCTGTAATCCCAGCTACTTGGGAGGCTGAGTCAGGAGAATCACTTGAACCCGCTAGGTGGAGGTTGCAGTGAGCCAAGATCACGCCACTGTGCTCCAGCCTGGGCAACAGTAGGAGACTCTGCCTAAAAAAAAAAAAAAAAAAAGTTAAATATGCACTTACTATGTAACCTAGCTATTTCACTCATAAGTATTTACCCAAAAGAAATGAAAATTGATGTCCTCAAAAACATTTGTACATGAATGGCCATGGCAGCTGCAAGATAAAATTTGGAAAAAGGCTTTGTCCATCAACAAATGAGTGGGTAAAAAAAATGATATATCTAGTCAATGGAGTATAACTGAACAGTGAATAGAAATGAATAATTGATACATGCTATAACAGTGATAAATCTCTAAAACATGCGGAGTGAAAGGAGCCAGACATAAAATGCATGATTACATTTACAAGAAATTTTAGAAAAGGCAAAAGTAATCTAGAAAGACCAAAATCAGGTTAGTGGTTGCCTCGGACTGGGGATAGGAGTGGGTTACTGGAATGAAGCAAAAGGAAACATTGCGGGGTGATGGCAACGTGCTGTATCTTGGAACAGTTACATAGATGTATTCATTTGTCAAAATTCATGAAAATGTATGCTTAAAATAGGTGCATTTTTGGCTGGGTGCAGTGGCTCATGCCTGTAATCCCAGCATTTTGGGAGGCCGAGGCGGGTAGATCACCTGAGGTCAGGAGTTCGAGACCATCCTGGCCAACATGGTGAAACACCGTCTCTGCTAAAATACAAAAATTAGCCAGGTGTGGTGGCGCATGTAGTCCCAGCTACTCGGGAGGCTGAGGCAGGAGAATAGCTTGAACCTAGGGGCCGGAGATTGCAGTGAGCTGAGATCATGCCACTGCACTCCAGCCTGGCAACAGAGAGAGACTGTCTCAAAACAAAACAAAACAAAGCAAAACAAAAAATTAGCCGGGCGTGGTGGCACATGCTTGTAATCCCAGCTACTTGGGACGCTGAGGCAGGAGAATCACTTGAACCCATAAGGCAGAGGTTACAGTGAGCCAAGATCACACCATTGCACTCCAGCCTGGGTGACAAGAGCGAAACTCCGTTTCAAAAAAAAAAAGGTGCATTTTTATTGTGTGTAAACTATACCTCAATAAAGTTGATTTTTTTTTATTGCAAAAGCAATAGTTTTAGAGAATGTGCTTGAAATTTATCCCTCCACTGGCTTGACTATCTCTCTCTCTCTCTTTCTTCCCCAACTACTCTTTCTGCCCAACTTCTACTCTCAAGTCACAGCCTTCTTTCATTTGCCGGCTCTCCAAATATTTGGAGAGATCTCTATCAATGGTGTCCTTCACCCACCCCCTCCAGTAAAGCCTCCTCACCTCCAGTTAAACATCGCCAGCTCTTTAGCCATTCATATTTGCTGTAGTTTACACTCTGATAAAAGTAGGGCTGGGGGCTGGGTGTGTTGTCTCATGCCTGTAATCCCAGCATTTCGGGAGGCCTAGGTTAGTGGATCATCTGAGGTCAGAAGTTCGAGACCAGCCTGGCCAACATGGCAAAACCCCATCTCTACTAAAAATACAAAAATTAACTGGGCATGGTGGCGAGCGTCTATAATCCCAGCTACTCCAGAGGCTAAGTGGAGAATCGCTTGAACCCGGGAGGTGGAGGTTGCAGTGAGCTGAGATGGCGCCATTGCACTCCAGCCTGGGTGACATAAGAGCAAAACTCCGTCTCAAAAAAAAAGAAAGAAAAAAAAAGGCTGGAAAGGCTCCATGGCTTGTGCAGGAAGGCATGATCTGGAAGAGCTGTGAATTCCCTAAACACAGGGAGAGTATTCAAAGGGCTGGGCAACCAAAACAAAATAAACAGAACATACAAGTGTTTACAGAGGTCTACATGCAACGCCACAGAAGCCATGGGGAAGATTTTGCATCCTCCTAAGTAAGTTTTAGGAGAGAAGAGATAGGATCTAACCCAGGATGGTTTTTTTGCTTTGGGCCCAGAGAATTTCTTTCAACTAATTCCCTCCTTTGCTACACACATCAGGGTACTAGTATTCAGGCAGCTCCATCACCCTTGACACAATTTCTCTGTTCAAATTTCCAGCATTCTCTGAAGCACAATATCTTTAAAATCACTTGTACATGTTGTTTGTTTCATCCCCTGTGGTCTCTTCCTTTCACCAGCTATCCTGATCTCCACTGAAGACTATTTAACTTGAACAGGTTACTCAACTTCTTTTCCTCAGTTTTCTCACTTGTGAAATAGGAAAGTGTTGCTGTGATGATTAAATGTATTAATATATGTCAAATCTTTTAATATTTCCTGGCTCATAGTAAGCTCCCTTAAGAATTCCTGTTATTATTTCCCCCAAAGATAAAGAGAAAAATCTTACAAGCTCCCAGATAGAATAAGTTATTTGTAAAAAAATAAAATAAAACTGGCAGTGAAATTCTGCTGTTGGAAACAGTAGAAAGTGCAAGGCAGCAGAATACATTTTCATCCTAAAAATCTTTCGACCCGTTGCTATGTATTTTACTTGTCAGAGTGAAAGACAGATAGTGTTACCGAAATGTGAAATGTAGTCCACTACATAGTAAGCACTCTGTAAGTTATTATTATTATTATTATTATTGTTGTTATTATTATTATTATTATTATCTAGGGCCATGATCAGAGGCTTTAAGTCTATCTTCCTGGATCCGTTACTATCTTCAGCTAGCATTCCCCACATGGCATTCACCACCACTCAGCCCAGCCCAATCTCCTCTCTGTTCTTTCCCACTTAACATTGTAATTATTCCAGCACCAGGAAGCTAGGAAGGGTCTCACATCTCACCTAAGTAAAGGGAGTATCTATCCCAATTTTTCTGGCTTTATGTTAGACATCAACAGATTTTAATTAAGGGAGCAGAAAAAAAGAAGATAATTTGCCTCCCCCTCCAAAATCTTAGGAAATGTAAGAATCCTGGAAAATAACATATCTTCCCTGCTTTCATTTAATTTTTTTAACTCCTAACTATATCAAAAAGGAGTTCATACAATTGAAAAGTTCATTATTTTGTGATTGATTGGTATTATTTCTAGTAGCTACCCCATTTGTTGATTCAATTTATTTCTTTATAAACCAAATTATGGGCCAGGCGTGGTGGCTCACGCCTGTAATCCCAGCACTTTGGGAGGCTGAGGTGGGCAGATCACAAGGTCAGGAGATCGAGACCATCCTGGCTAACACAGTGAAACCCTGTCTCTAGTAAAAACACAAAAAAATTAGCCGGGCATGGTGGTGGGTGCCTGTAGTCCCAGCTACTCAGGAGGCTGAGGCAGGAGAATGGTGTGAACCTGGGAGGCAGAGGTTGCAGTGAGTGGAGATTGTGCCACTGCACTCCAACCTGGGCGACACAGCGAGACTCCATCTCAAAAAAGAAAAGAAAAAAAGAAAAAAAAATTATGTTATTGCCAAATTTGAGATTGTTTATGAAAACTGCAATTCTTTTTTTTTTTTTTTTTTTTTTTGAGACGGAGTCGCGCCCTGTCACCCAGGCTGGAATGCAGTGGCACGATCTCAGCTCACTGCAAGCTCCCGCCTCCCAGGTTCTCGGCTTTCTCCTGCTTCAGCCTCCTGAGTAGCTGGGACTACAGGTGCGCGCCACCACACCCGGCTAATTTTGTGTATTTTTAGTAGAGATGGGGTTAAATATCAAAATCCAGATCTTTTTTGAGGAAGAGGAAAGGGTTAAAAAGCTAAAATATATTTGCCAAGAATTTTATCTGAATTTCTGTTCACAGCACTTTAAGAGAAAAAGTATTTCTTATGTTTCTGATTCATTTATGTTTGAATCATCAAAAAATTTTAATAGCTATTTGATATTCCACTAGCTTTTGAATCCTTTACAGCTTTTTAATGCCTATTTTTTCTCTTCATTAAAAACGTTTTGGTCTCTTCATGGGTTTCATCTGTTGTACGTGTGCCTTATATTTTAACCTACACTTACTTATCAAATTGGGCTACTGCTTGAACAGGCCACTTTCATCCCAGGACCCTTGCATGGGCACTTTTCTCTGCCCAAAATGCTCTTTCTTAGATACCTTCAGGCTAACTTTATCTCCTTTGTTTAAAAGTCACCATTTCAATGAGGCCTACCCTCACCACCCTATTTAAAATTATAAAAATCAGATTTAATCTGTGACAGCACCCACGAGCCATTATGTAAATTAGCCCCAAAATATCCTAGCCAAGTAAAAAACTTGGAATCCAAAAATGTTAGAGGGACCTTGAAGTAATTCTAGTATAAATTTCTCATTTTACAGTTGAAGCCCAGCGATGTTAAGTGGCTTCCCTCAGATCAGACAAGTTAGATTCAGAAATACTCATCGTATCTAATAGATGTCTCACAATCAGCATCCGAATCTGTTGTCCAAAACTGAACTCGTGATATCCCCATAATCTTGCTCCTCCCACGGCCTTCCTTGTCTTGGATCATGGCAACACCATCTTTGTAGTTCCTGGGGCACTAGAATCATCCTGTCTCCCTTTTTTACACACGATCATAGACAGATGTCAACAAATCTAGTCTGCACTACCTTCAAAATGGATATAGAATCCTATCACTTCCTACCACCTCTACATGTGCCACAGTTGTCCTAGGCACCATATCTTACTCTTAGGTTACTGTGATCGTTTCCTTGTGTCTGCTCTTGCCCCTAAAAGGCTATTCTCAAGCACTATTCAGTGTGACTGCTTTAAATCATGCCATTCTCAGGCTCTGCTGCAAAGCCTGCAATAGCTCCCTGTTATGCTTGGGCACTGCCTACAGAACCTTTCACCAGCTGGCCTCCCATTTCCCCTGACTGTATCTGCTACGACTCTACCTTTTGTTCACTACACTCTAAATACAATCATCTCTTTGCTATTCCTTGAACAAGCCAGGCACACACCCACCATGTGGCCTTTTATTGGCTCTCTCCTCTGCTCTTGGTTATTCTCATGGTTAACAGCACCTCTTCTGTTCAAAAGACCCCTTCTCAATGAATCTATAGTAACCTCGTTCACAATTGCAAACTGCCCATTTACACCTCAGTAACGTGTGATTTCTCTGAACCTCTTCTATTTTTCTTTTTCTTTTAGAACATATCACCTACAAAGATAGTATCTCATTTACTTATTATTATGTTTATTTATTATGTCTCTTCTCTGTAATAATGTAAGTTCCACAGGGTGAGAATATTTGTGTTTTTTTATTTTTTATTTTTTTTATTTTTTATTTTTGAGACGGAGTCTCGCTCTGTCGCCCAGGCTGATATTTGTTTTATTATTGTATGCCCAGTACCTAGAAGAGTGCCAGGCATGAAGTAGGCATTCAATAAATATTTGTTGAAAGAAAGAGAGAGAGAAGACAGGTCTCTTGTTCCTCAGATATGTTGCCATTACAGTGTCTTACATGGCCTACACCAAGTGGACACAACTCACTTCACTGAGGAAAACTAAACAAAACAAAGCAAACAACAACAACAAAAAAACTTAAAAAGCTAAAAACAAGGGAGGCCTTGGGCAAAACCAGGCATTAGGTAAGACTTGCTTTTCATACCCCCTCCTATGCCCTTTTCATCAGGCAAATCTCCAGCTCTAGTTCTCTTATTTTATTCTGAATATTTCTAGTCAGCTATTAATTTAAGTCATATGAATGTTCTGACTGTAGTTTTGCTTCCCAATGTACTACACTTCCCTAGGTTACTTATACTTGAAGAAAGAAAAACAGCAGGAAGAGGCAATACTTAGCCCAAAGCAGTGAGTGTTTATTGGTGAAATTCTAGGCAGTATGGTATGGGGATGGTGGGAGAAGTCTCAATTGCCCAATGTAAGGATGTGTTTACTTTGGGTAAAATTAGCCCACTAGTATGTATTTGCCAAAATATTTTTAATAGATGCAAAATAAATTGAAGAAAAAATTACAGAACAAATGCAAAATGGAAATCACTTCTGAGCTCACATATGGCAATGTCAATGATCTGGTTTAAAAGAATATTCCCAGTAAAAGGTTTATGGAATTTAAGAAAGTATAGTTTGGAATAAACTTCTAATATTAAAAAAGCAAAAATTATATTACAAAAATTCAGATGTTAATTTGCAGTGGAGGGAGAAAGGAGTTAAACTGAAGTATGATTATATAGGAGACAAAAGCTGAGACTCGTCTGGTAAACAATTAAGAATTGAATCAATTTTTCAGATATTTTAGGCAAAATTGTTCTCTATTGCATTTTTTACCAGCCTATAAAGCATCATAGACCAGGTCAAGTTAAATACAGGCAGACACGACACAGAAGAGATCAAATTGATGCAAATGCTTTAAGAAAATAGATTTGGCCGGGCACAGTGGCTCATGTCTGTAATCCCAACACTTTGGGAGGCCAAGGCAGGAGAATCACGAGGTCAGCAGTTCAAGACCAACCTGGCCAACATGGTGAAACCCCGTCTCTACTAAAAATACAAAAAAAATAGCTGGGCGTAGTGGTGGGCGCCTGTAATCCCAGCTACTCTGGAGGCTGAGGCAGGAGAATCGCTTGAACCCAGGAGGCGGAGGTTGTCGTGAGCCAAGATCGGCGTCACTGCACTCCAGCCCGGTGACAGAGTGAGACTCTGTATAAAAAAAAAAAAAAAAAATTAAAAAGGCCGGGCGCAGTGGCTCACGCCTGTAATCCCAGCACTTTGGGAGGCCAAGGAGGGCAGATCATGAGGTCCAGAAATCGAGACCATCCTGGTTAACACGGTGAAACCCCGTCTCTACTAAAAATATAAAAAAATTAGCCAGGTGTGGTGGCGGGCGCCTGTAGTCCCAGCTACTCGGGAGGCTGAGGCAGGAGAATGGTGTGAACCGGGGAGGTGGTGGTTCCAGTGAGCCGAGATCGTGCCACTACACTCCAGCGTGGGCGACAGAGCAAGACTCCGTCTCAAAAAAAAAAAAAAAAAAAAAAGAAGAAGAAGAAAAAAGAAAAGAAAAGAAAATAGATTTGGCTTTGAGTGTGACATCAGGAAAGAAACAGAGTTGATTGGCTTAGGTGTGGGAATAATACTGCTTTGGGATGGATTGAGAGATTAAAGTCATTTGAAGTCTAAGAATAAACATAATATGATTCCATTCATGTAATAAATGGATTAAATCTGTTTTTGTACAGACAAAGAAAATTTCTGGAAGCTTGCACACAAAAAATTAATATGGTTACTTTTGAGGAAAAGGTGTGAAAGTTTAGGTAGGATAAAGAAAACTTTACATACATTTCACATGCTTCTGTTGTTTGAATGCATGACATTAAAGATGTGTATTTATGTATTGTAATAATTCTTTTAACCCAACATATTAAAAAATTATCATTTCAATATATGTGATCAACACAATATTATTAGTGAAGTATATATTTATGGCTGGTTGATCTGAAACAGGTAAAACCACCTCGGGCTTGTGATTGATGTGAAGTGAGGGCAGGCCTGTGGGACTGAGCCTTTGACCTGTGGGGTCTGATGCTATATCCAGGCAGATAGTGTCGGAATTGAATTGAATTAAAGGGCACCACATGAATGTCTGCTGTAGAGTTGATTGGTTGCTGGTAGGAAGAAATCCTCACACATTTTGGTGACCAGAGGACACAGAAGTATTTTGTGTTGTGAGAGTAGAATACGGGGAGAAGTTTGTTTTTTCTGGGACTAAATCTTTCAAAGTCACTGTGTATTTTTTAAGCTTCCAGCACAAATTTCTTTTCTGTTATATGTAAGCTCCACAAGGGTAAGGATATTTGTTTTATCATTGTTTGCCCAGCACCTAGCAGAGTGTCTGGCACAAAGCAGGCATTCAATAAATATTTGTTGCAAGAAAGAGAGAGACAGAGAAGATAGGTCTCTTGTTCCTCAGGTATGTTGACATTACAGTGTCTTATGTGGCTTATATCAAGTGAACACAACTCATTCACTGAGAAAAAGAAACTCTAACAAGCTAAAAACAAGGGAGGCCTTGGGCAAAACCAGGAATTAGGTAAGACTTGTTTTTCATACCCCCTTCTATGCTCTTTCATCAAGCAAAACTCCAACTCTAGTTCTCTTATTCTATTCAGAATATTTCTAGTGCAGCTATTAATTTACTTTAAGGCATATGGATATTCTCACTATAATTTTGCTTCCCAATGTGTTACACTTCTCTAGGTTACTTACATTTTAAGGGATGTATATTTATATAGAAAAAGAAGTTCAACAGTTTAACAACAATATTAATAAAGAATTGAGAAAAGCTACAATTAAGTCTTTTTTGTTTTTTCTTGTTTGTTTGTTTGTTTGTTTTTGAAATGGAGTCTCACTCTCACCCAGGCTGGAGTGCAATGGCGTGATCTCAGCTTACTGCAGCCTCCACCTCCCAGGTTCAAGTGATTCTCCTGCCTCAGCCTCCCGAGCAGCTGGGATTACAGGTGGCTGCCACCACTCCCTCCTAATTTTTTTTTTTTTTTTTGAGACGGAGTCTCGCTCTGTTGCCCAGGCTGGAGTGCAGTGGCACAATCTCAGCTCATTGCAACTTCCAGCTCCCAGGTTCAAGCGATTCTCCTTCCTCAGCCTCCCAAGTAGTTGGGATTACAGGCATGCACCATCATGCCCGGCTAATTTTTGTATTTTTAGTAGAGACAGGGTTTCACCATATTGGCCAGGCTGGTCTTGAACTCCTGACCTCGTGTTCCACCCACCTCAGCCTCCCAAAGTGCTGGGATTACAGGCAACAGCCACGGTGCCCGGTCTAAGATTAACTCTTGGTATGACTTCAAATCATACTTAACAATTATAAATAGCATGTCCCTCAGTTGCTTATGTAACTTTCTATTCTTAATTTAAATTTTATCTTTTAAAGTGAAATATACACAATGTCAAATGGATAAGTAAGAATTATTTGGATATACACCAGTTCAATCATTTTTATGTCTTTAATGATTTAAGATGATAAAAAGGCATTAGTCTTTTTGTTCATGAATTTTAGGAAGTAAATAAAATTAGAATAAAAATATTATGCAAAGGTTACTACTGTTAGCCATGCTATACAAGTATTTCACTTCCATTCTTCATTTATGGTAGAATAGGCTCTGTGCTAGGGCCTGTGAATGCAAAGCTGTTCTCTGCCGTTGGAAAGCACAGTGTTGTGAGAGAGATCACTGAGAGCACAGAGGTTCATTATATTAGGGTGTGGTGCATGCAAAAGAATATGTACAAGACATAAAAGTAGCACAGAATGAGGAAGAATTGTCATCTTGACAGGTAAGGGAAGGTTTCACAGAGGACGGTTGTGAAGAATAAACAGGAGATTTTTTTTTTTTTTTTTTTTTTTACGACGGAACCTTCCTCTATCACCCAGGCTGGAGTGTGGTGGCACAATCTCGGCTCACTGCAACCTCTGCCTCCGAGGTTCAAGCGATTCTCCTGCCTCAGCCTCCCAAGTAGCTGGGACTACAGGTGCATGCCACCACACCTGGCTAATTTTTATATTCTTAGTAGAGACTGGGTTTCACCATATTGGCCAGGCTGATCTTAAACTCCTGACCTCATGATCTGCCCGCCTTGGCCTCCCAAAGTGCTGGGATTACAGGCATGAGCCACCACGCCCGGCCGAACAGGAGATTATTAAGTAGACCAAGCTTGAGGCAAGGAAGGGTACTGGAGGCAAGAAACATCTTGGTGTGCTCAGAGCACTGTGTGCAGTTTGTTATTGATGAAACAAGGCTAGAGGAATGGCTCCACAGAAGAAAGTGTGATAATATGAAATATATATTTGGTCTATGTTTCCTGGTATACAAATCTTAAAATCTTTGGCTTCCTCAAAGTGCTTTATCTTTTTATCTGCTAATGAATTGACTAATTACTGGCCTCCCCTGGGTAGCTTGCAGAAGGGGGCTGATCACTGGGAAGATCAAGGCATGATTAGAGGGTTAAGACTTTCAGTCCCACTCCACAACCTCTATTAAGTTGATCACCAATGGTCCACAATTTGATCAATCATGCCTAAGTAATGAAGCTTGCATAAAAACCCAAATGGACTGGGTTTAGGGAGCTTCTGAATAGCTGAACACATGGAGGTTCCTGGAGGGTGGTACCTGCAGGGAAAACATGAGACTTCCCCACATGCCTTGTTCTATACCTCTCTTCATTTGTATCCTCTATAACATCTTTTATAATAAACCACGTAAGTGTAAATAAAGTGTTTCATTGAGTTCCACAAACCGCTCTAGCAAATTAATTGAACCTGAGGAACCCCAGTTCCTAGCTGGTTGCTCAAAAACACAAGTAAAACAACCTGGGGCTTGTGACTGATGTGAAGTGAGGACAGTCTTGAGGAACTGAGCCTTTAACCTTTGGCATCTGATGCTATATCCAGGTATATAGTGTTGGAACTGAATTGAATTAAAGGGGACCAAGCTGATGTCCTCTGTGGAGTTAGTTGATTGGTTGCTGGTAGGAAGAAATCCCCACACATTTTGGTGACCAGAGGACACAGAAATACTTTGTGTTGTGAGTATAGAATAGGCGAAAATTTTGTTTTTTCTTCTCAGAGAAAGCAAGGCTGAAAAGGTGAAATGAACTAAGCTGAAATGTACTAAAAGTCTTGAGTACTATGAAAGTTGGCCCAGAAGAGCAGGGATGTGTCTGTTTTACTACTGACATCCCCAGCACAGTGCTTGACACGGGGTAGGCAGGAAATCAATAAATGAGACCAAGAAGGGCAAAGAAAAGAGAGAGTGAAGGAGTGAACAAGGAGAATGTGCAGCATCAGATACCAAAGTCGAGGCAGGAAAGTTTTGAAAGGGGGTTGTGGATGGGCGCAGTGAAAGCAGGGGCTTACCTACCTCATCACTCACACATATTTGTGAGTGTGTGAAAAACATTGATTTGTTAAATGAAAATATATAAAATATCCTACAATTTCTGGAACCTATCTTGCTATTCCTTAATTTTTTAATATACTTATATCCTCAGCAGGTGAAAACACTCCCACAGTTAGCCAGGTTCTACCCTCAGATGGTAGAAGTCTGGAGACAAGTCTAGGAGTTGTTGGAACTGTACCATTAGTTGATGGGGCAGTCAGTTCATTTAAAAGGTCCCCCTGCCCCCCTCCCCACCATTGCAAACATGATGAAAATACTGGCTCTCTTTTCACGCTGCTTCTACCAAGAACTTTCATCGAAAAACGCCACTTGAAAGAAAATAAAAAGACAGAAGGATGCCACTTGGGAAGAACTGTTTTAGAAGACCTACTGTTCCTGCACCCCCTTGACTAAGGCTCCAGTGCTTGAACCTTTCGTAACCTCTGGGATGACTTGACTGGGAATCAGAGACCATTTCCATGGAGTGGTAAAAGGAGAGTCTCAGTGCAGTAACTTGAAGGTGAGAAATGGTTGTGATCCTAGAGACTGTGGCTCTGAAGCACATTTTTTAGGATAAGAGCAAAATATGTTCTCTTTAAAAAGAGAAAAAAAAATCAGAAGTTTGGCTCTCTACATGGAAAAGAGTCCTGTATTATAACAAGAATGTCTTTCTTTACCTTCCACTGCATGTCTTTCTTTACATTTTCATAAACATGCTCACCTCACACTTTTTCCTTGCTTATCTATTACTAGAATGCCCTCCTCATCCTCTCTGTTCACCTAATGTCCTTTGTTACCAAACATCCGTTCCTCTGCTTCTGGGAGTACTTTCCCAAATTTCCTTTGAGAGGCCAGCTCACCTATTGTTTGTCACTGGTTTGGGTGGGATTCACTCTGAGCTGTAAGGGTAGGCCTAGATTGGTTTAAAATAATTCTTACATCCTTTTACCCAGGCAACCATGATTTGTTGAGGAACTGACATGTAACCTTGTCAAGGCCAATCAAAGACTAGGATGTATTTACTAGGAATTCTGGGATAGATACACTTCCTGCCAGAATCTATAAGGAACTTAAACAATTCAACAAGCAAAAAACAACCTCACTGAAAACTGGGCAAAGATACATTCACTTCTCAAAAGAAGACACACAAGTGGCCAACAAACATATAGAAAAATGCTCAGCGTCACTAATTATCAGAGAAATGTAAATCAAAATCGCAAGGAGATACTATCTCATACCAGTCAGAATGAATATTATTAAAAAGTCAAAAAACAACAGGTGCTGGTGAGGCTGCACAGAAAAGAGAATGCTTATACACCATTGGTGGGAATATAAATTAGTTCAGCCACTGTGGAAAGCAGTTTGAAGATTTCTCAAAGAACTTAAAACGGACCTATTAATAACATTCAACCCAGCAATTGCATCACCGGGTATATATCCAAAGAAAAATAAATTGTTCTACCAAAAAGACACAGGCACTCATATGTTCTTGGCAGGATTATCTACAATAGCAAAGACATGGAATCAACCTAGGTGCTTATCAACAGTAGATTGGATTTTTAAAACGTGGTACATAAACACCATGAAATACTATGCAGCCATAAAAAAATAATGAAAGCTTGGCCACGCACAGTGGCTCAGGCCTGTAATCCCAGGACTTTGGGAGGCCGAGGTGGGTGGATCACTTAAGGTCAGGAGTTCAAGACAAGCCTGGCCAATATGGTGAAACCCCGTCTCTGCTAAAAATACAAAAATTAAATGGGTATGATGGCACGCACCTGTAATCCCAGCTACTCAGGAGGCTGAGGCAGGAGAATCACTTGAACCTGGGAGGCAGAGGTTGCAGTGAGCTGAGATCATGCCACTGCACTCCAGCCTGGATGATAGGATGAGAGACTCCATTTCAAAAAAAAAAAAAGAAAAGAAAAAAGAAATCTTGTCCTTTGCAGCAACATGGATACAGCTGGAGGCCATTATCCTAAGTGAATTAACACAAGAATGGAAAACCAAATACCTCATGTTCTCACTTATAAGTGTGAGCTAAACATTGGGTACTCATGGATACAAAGATGACAACAATCGACACTGGGGACTACTAGAGATGGGAAGGAGGGCAGCAAGGGTTGAAAAACTAACTTTTGGATACTAGTGAGCGTAGTATTCAACAGTTTTTGTAGATCATTCCTATCCCAAACTTCAGCGTCACACAATATATCCATGTAACAATATTACCCTGTAATTTTGTTTGGCTTAAAATGAACTGGGAAGAAATACAAAAGTCAGCATTGGAACCCAGTGCCCCTGAGCAGGAGGTCCTGAGATCAGCCTCTTCAGTCTTTTATAACTAAAAGTAGAATAAGGAGGACAGAGCTAAGAAAAGGGAGAAATTAATCTAAACTAAAAGTTGAAATTATTAAAAAATTAAAAAATAAATAAAGTAATATGTCCAGAATAGACAAATATATAGGGAAAGAATGTAGATTAATGGTAGTTCAGGGAAGGGGTAGGGTGGGAGTGGGGGTGATGGCCAAGGAGTGTAGAGTTTCATTTTGTGGTAATAAAAATGTTGTAAAATTGATTGTGGTGATGGTTGCACAACTCTGTAAATGTATTTAAAATTGTTGAATCATACACTTTAAAGTAGGTTCATTATAGGGAATATGAATATCTCAATAAAGTTTCAAAAAGAATAAGTTAATATGAGAAAAATAGATAGACTTGAAAAATAATCTAATAAAACTTCTGGAGGTGAAAGATAGTCTCTAAAAGTGAAAACTCAGTAAGTATGTTAAACAGAAAAGTAGACTTAGTTAAAGGGAGAACTGGTAAACTGGAAAATAGTTTAATAAAATTCATGGAAAGCAACACAGAGAAAGAAATATATGAGAGATTAAAAACCCACATTTGTCTATAAAGAGTTCCAGAGAGAATAGAGATAATGAAGGAAAGGCAATATTTGAAGTGATAATAACAGAATTTTCCAGAATTGAAAAATGACGGATTCTCAGATCAAGAAGCACACAAAGTCCTGTGTAGAATAAATAAAAATAAATTTTAGCCTAAATGGATCTTAATGAACTCAGAGAACACAAAGTGAAAATCTTAAAAGCAATTATAGAGAAAATCAGAAATAACAAAAGGATAAACCCCCAACAGCTCAAAGCAATAACAAAGACCAGAAGATTTTGACTGTGTTGGGGGGAAATAATCATCATTTCAAGTAAAGAAGAAGTAAATATATTTCATTCAATAGATAATTCAAGGGTGAAGGGGAAACAAATATATTTTTAGCCAAAGATTGATAGTTTATTACTCCAAACGTATGATAAATCAATGCTAGGAAGGACATTAGATTCGGAATGAGGGAATGATATGCAAGAAACAAGATAGTGATTTTTTTTTAAATCCCTGACAGAAAAAATATGACGACTAATTTGGGAATTTTTTTTCTTCCTAATAAAGTGGAACAAAATATTAGCTACTAATATGTTAGATCGATCAGAAAAATAACAAAAGCATTGTTAGGGAGAAAAAAGGGAAGTTACATAAAGACAGAAGAAAAATTCACCTGGAAAAATGTAATAATCCTGAACTAACTTACATGTACCTCCCTACATAGCTTCCAAAGATACATTTCTTAAAGATCAGTAGAACCACCTGGAGAAGTTGATAAATTTCCAGATGTATAGATATTAATATTACCTCTTTCAGGAACTGATAAATCCAAAGAAAGGAAATAAATAAGCATACAGAAATTAAGGCATCACTTTCAATGCTCTTGATCTAATACATATTTGGAACCTCACACTTAGTAATTAGAAGTAGATATTTTCTCACATTTTCAGTATTAAAAAGAAATTGATTATGTACTAGCTCACAAAATTTAAAAATCAATAGCAGGTGACCAATATATTCATATTTTTGGAAATTTAAATATGATTTCTTAGTAATTTGTGTGTCACTCAAGAAATAATAATGGAAATTGGAGGATATTTGTATCTAAATATACATTGCTTTATTTATTTATTTATTTATTTATTTAGAGACAGGGTCTTGCTCTGTCACCCAGGCTGGAATACACTGGTGTGTGCAAGACTCACTGTAGCTTGGGCTCAAGCAACCCTCCCACCTCAGCCTCCTGAGTAGCTGGGACCACCATACCCAGCTAATTTTTAAATTTTATGTAGAGACAAGGTCTCTCAATATTGCGCAGGCTGGTCTCAAACTCCTGGGCTCAAGCAACCCTCCTGCCTGGGCCTCCCAAAGTGCTCAGATTATAAGTCTGAACCACCATGCGTAGCCTGCCCTATATATTTATATCTAAATGAAATTACTCTGTATCAAAACTTGTTAAATGCAGCTAAAGCAATACTTATGAGGAAATGTGTAGCCTAATGAGTGTTAGATAGTGATTCAATCAGAAAAGTCTTTCTTTTCTTCTTTATTACTTCTGCAAACAAATTTAGAATGTATCTCAAAAATAAAAACTTAAAAAACCTTTTTGTTGCAGTATACATACAGAAAAGTACTCAACTCAGCAACAATGTCTATGTATCTTATGTATAATGGATTTGATGTGGAGAAGTATAAAATGTGATTAAAATTTATAATATTAAAATGATAATCCGCATCATTTTATATCCCCAACAATAAAAATAAACTGTTTTCAATACAATATCACTATTAATAGTCTACTTCCTAAGAATAGATGTAAATCTATCAAGCAAAGATGATCTAGCACACCAAACAGAAAATATAAATCTGGTAAGTAAATATATGAAAGAACCTTTTGAAACAGTCCAATTTTGTTCTATATCCCATAGATACTAGAGAATTATTAGATATCACATAGGGTTCCAGCAGGGTTCCAGCAGTGAAGCGTGTTTAATGCAAGGTCTGTTTACAAAGGTATGGGCAAGGTTAAGAACAAGCAACAAGGCATGATGAAATTCTTGAGAATTTGTTCCCCACCCCCAGGCATCTTGAAAGGAGCTATATCCTTTGGTAGAGAAACACAGCCAGTCGCCCCAACCTGTGGCTTGACATGGAAGGAGTCCAAAGAACAAATGTCCCCCACACACCCTCCACCAGTCCTACCAGAGCCAGCAAGCTACTCACTCACACTGGGAGGGCCCAGAGACCTGCCTTTCATCTATACTTTGAGAAATAAATTTGTGACAAGGAGCTCCAGCATCCTTAAAAGCTCTGTGACCATTCTTCTCTGTCAGCCAGACCTTACAATGGGAACTGCAGCCATTCAATTGGAAAACTTAAATGTGGTGAGAGTATTTGGATCCTGAGGTGTCAGGAGCCAAGTGGTGGCATTCGACTGCCAAAGGTAAGGCAGGCATAGTTAGCATAATTGGCAGCAGATTCAAACAGCAATCAGAACAGTCTGCCAGTGCAGACCTATGGCATCATGGTGTTCTTAGAAGTGAAAGGGGTAGAAAAACTACTAAATTCTTAGTTAATCTGTATATGCAAATAAATTCTGGACCCAATGAACAAAAGTATAAAATGAATCATAAAAACAGACTCATGGCTTCTCAATCAATTCCCAGACTTGAGCCAGTTTACAGACACAGAATCAGGTCTGTAAACTCCCCAAAAGGGGAGGCCAGGTGCCCTAGAGGAAGAACCCTGGTATACTATGGAAAATAACTACTGTTAATCTTTTTTCCAGCCTTCCCTGAAGGGACCTACAGCCTTTCCTCAGGGTAACTGTGCATTGGGGAAAATGAAATAACCAGCTTTTAGGGGGACTACTTGGCACTGGCTCTGAACTGACACTTATTCCAGGAGACCCAAAATAACCCTATGGCCCTCCACGCAGAGTAGAGTCTTATGGGGGTTGGAAGATCAATAAATTTTAGCTCAGGTCAATCTCACAGTGATTCCAGTGGGTCCTTAAACCCAACTAACTAGGGGGATCTCATACGCTACAGGAATGAGCCTGCACTAGTACCCCTGCCAGGCTCAGTCATTCACTGGGAGCAGCCTGGAGAAAATGTGGCCTCAAAGAATGTGATGGTGGATCCACAGGTGTGGCCGCTGGGGTTGTCAATCAACTCCTAAGATCTGAGAGGCTTACTTTTCATGGCCACTGCACACGTCACTTACCTCTTTGTGAATTTGAGTACTAAGAGGAGAAAAAATGAAATGTACTTATTACAATTAGTGTTATAGGGGGAAGAATCAAAAGCTATGTAGATGGAATAACGTGGGGGCACACAAAGACCCTTTATGCTCTTGAAATATGCTCTACTATGCTGTCACAGCACTTACATTACCAACCATTAGTTTTTTCCCTTGGGTCAAAGCTTTAAAGACATATATTACAGGTATTCATTGGAAAAGCTGATCTTTAGGACATGCCCAGCCATATCAATTTTTTGCTCAGAGGGCACTCTGTTAGCCTCTGGTGTAACACATGTCCTACCTCATGTTACCATTAATTTACCTTGCTATCTTCTCCAGAGGGTAAGAGTTGTGTCTTATTTGATTTTATAACACATCTGACACTGACACATAGTGAGTTTTAAAGAAATGATGAGTGAGTGAAATGATTGAATGTGTGAATTAATGAGAGTTTGTTATCTAAGGAATCCAGAAGAAGTGGCCTATAGAGGAGGTAAACTTAGGTGAGGGCTAAAAGAGATGCCTCACTGTTGTGTAGTGGGGATTGATGAATACCTGGGAAGTGTGTGTGGAAGGAGGGGAGCCTTAGCTAATACGTGTCGACTTCATGATATTCCCTTGGTCTAACTGTTGTTCAGTCTGCAATTCATTGTCATGTTGATACTACACTTTATCTGTTTTTCTCAACTTCCCCCCAAAGCTCTGTCTACTGGAGGTCAGAATAACCTGTTAACTCAGAAATTCTAGTAAAAAACAGCAAAAACCAGTCATACTGTTAGGTGTAATAGAAAGGGCAAACAAATTGACTTCTACCTCTGAATTGATTGCTTTGGCATTTACAAATGCCAGTGCTTGTATAAAAGGATAGACTTCTTAAGGAAAAGGTCTTGGGACAAACTTTTTCATCAGAACTCTATGGTTGGTCTGAAGTTGGAGCTCCTGTCATATAAGCTCCAGTTACAATCAAAGTAAGACTAATGTATTTGCAAAATAGGTTTAGTCTCATTAAACTTGCCCTGATTATTTTATATAACTGCAGCAAGAATAACCATATAGGCTCTTTTTAAATTTGCTTTGCTGTAAATTTTGCCAAGGAATCTCAGATTAGACTTTAAAAAAATTGCTGTGCACTAGGAAGCCAAACCAAGGTAGACATCAGACTTTGCCTGCAGTATCTAATATCTGAAGATTCCTTGACCTGCCAGAAAGTGGCAATTTTTACACACTCACTGTAAGGGTGGGAACCCTTGAAGCCAGGCATTTTATGCACATTCTCAAATATGACATTCCAGTGAAAGTGTTGGTAATATAACCAATGCTTCTGACTGTATCCCGTTATGAAGAGGACAAGTTATTATTGAATTGATTCAAATAATCTTATTGTCATAAAAGTCAGAATACTCACAAATATTGTCCAAATTCTGGAAAGATCATGCAGAGAGAAAAAGCAAATGTTTCCATTATTATTTGCAAAAGTGTACTTTACCAAATTTCTGTAAACTACAGATAACTTAAAAAAAATTTTCTTAAATCTGAAAAACAAAACTTTAAAAGAACCAACAATGTTTCAAATTTACAAAGCCATAAAAACCCATAATTCTTCTTCATCAGTTCATTCAGTTTCATGTAATTAATTCTTGTTCTGCTTGGTCTTGGTTAGCCGTTTCATAAATTCATCAGTTTCTTCATTTGAGTGTTAGAAATATGAGTGTTAGAGATCGTCCCATGGTATGATCTTCAAATTATCAGAAACTTGTATTTATCAGGGTTATTTTCGTCCTTTCCATGAACCTCCTTGAAAACACAACACTGTGTAATATTGTTGCTTATAAAAAGTTTTCACAAAGGCATCAGAATAAAGCAACAAGACTTGAAATGTCCATGGTTAAAAACCTGATGAGAGTTTTTAACTCTCATCAGAGATGAGATGTCAATTGATGATGTCCATCATCTGATGATGATGCAATTGACAACTGACCAAGAAATTTGGTTATTTCTGTGGCATACAATATGTTAATATAATAACCAGAATTATAATAGATAACATACTAGATTTCTTAGATTTTTATTCAGTTTTGTGCACATATCAACAACACAACCATGCAAATACAACTCAAAGAAGAGTACACGTAATTTCTTACTTTGACAATGCTCTCTGCATAATTTAACATATCACATAAACAGAATTGGCTTAATATGTCTCTTTCCTACTTTCAGGGGCTCTTCTGAAATGTCCCAAAGTTAGTTTGAGGTAAAAAAAAAAGGACAATTTTAGAATTTGATTTGGGGAAATTTATCAAACATATCAAAAGGTTTAAAACACTTGATCAAAATAGGATCACAGGTGACTGTAAAATAACAGTCATTCATTTGACCACAGTGATAATTAAAAGGCTTCAAAGGCAAATGCAGAAGATTACATACAAAACCTTCTGTAAAAAACCTTAATTCTTTCAAGACTGTCTGTTGTTGTTATTGTTGTTGTTTCAGAGACAAGGTCTCACTCTGTTGCCCAGGCTGGGGTGCAGTCATGCAATCATAGCTCACTGCACCTTTGAACTTCTGGGCTCAAGCAATCCTCCCACTTCAGCCTCCTCAGTAGCATTTTGTCCTTCTATAAAATTTAAGAAGCCAAAACACAGCTGAGTGAAGTGGCTCATGCCTGTAGTACCAGCTATTTGGGAGGCTGAGGCATACGCTACCATGTCTGGCTAATTTTTTAATAGAGATGGGGTCTTGCTATGTTGGCCAAGCTGGTCTTGAACTCCTGACCTCAAGTGATCCTCCCACCTTGTCCTCCCAAAGCACTGGGATTACAGGCATGAGCCACCATGCCCGGCCCAAGGCTTAGTTTTCTTAAGTAATGAAAGACCTAATAAAGAAATCACGAGGCATAAGAAATTACTTTGATAAAACACAAAATCTTTTGTTTCATAGGTCAATTACTTAGAAGGTAAAGAAAAAGCTTTTATTATTATTTCTTATTAAGAGGAGTAAATACTCTAGGAAAACTTTGTTGTTTTAAGACGGGAGCATTTTATTTCACATCAGTGTACTTTTCATATTAAGGCTTAATTTTTAGAAAAACCTAAAAACAATTTTCTTCTACTTTTAGCCAAATTGATTACACACAAAATTTCTTTCATAAGGAATAGAAAGGAGATAAGATTAATCTCCCACAAATGTATCACTTGCTTACACCTTCAGTTTTGTCCTATACTTACTTCCTTCTCATATTGGAACAGCCAATCATTCTACCTTATGACAAAAATTTACTTTCCTTTTCCCCTTATCCTTTTGACCACACAAATTCTCTCTTATACCAAAAAAAGAAAAAAATATTTCTCTTTTTAACTATATGCTTTTACCAAAAAATATATCCTCATACTTATAATAACCTTCCTCACATCTCTTTCTCCTACCTACTGATTCTTGCCTGCCTTGTTTTTATTTCATTTTTTTTTTTTTTTTTTTTTTTTTTTTAGACAGAGAGTCTCTCTCTGTCACCCAGGCTGGAGTGCAGTGGCACGATGTTGCCTCACTACAACCTCTGCCTCCCGGGTTCAAGTGATTCTCCTGCCTCAGCCTCCCTAGTAGCTGGGATTACAGGTGCTCACCACCACACCCGGCTAATTTTTTGTATTTTTAGTAGAGACGGTGTTTTGCCATGTTGGCCAGGCTGTTCTCAAACTCGTGACCTCAGGTGATGCACCCACCTCGGTCTCCCAAATTGCTGGGATTACAAGTGTGAGCCACTGCGCCCAGCCTATTTCATTCTTAAATCCATATTTTGAAACAACTTTTAAATAATTTTGAATCACTTTGTAACAAAAATATGTCCTCCTGTCTCCTGTCTTTATAACAATTTTTCTCACCAAAATGTACCTTACTTTACTTTACATATAGAATTGTTTCTTTTCTTTTTTTTTTTTTTGAGACGGACTCTCGCTCTGTCGCCCAGGCTGGAGTGCAGTGGCGCCATCTCGGCTCACTGCAAGCTCTGCCTGCCTCCCGGGTTCACGCCATTCTCCTGCCTCAGTGTCCCCAGTAGCTGGGACTACAGGCGCCCGCCACCACGCCCGGCTAATTTTTTTGTATTTTTTAGTAGAGACGGGGTTTCACTGTGTTAGCCAGGATGGTCTCAATCTCCTGACCTCGTGATCCTCCCGCCTCGGCCTCCCAAAGTGCTAGGATTACAGGCGTGAACCAACGCGCCCGGCCTAGAATTGTTTCTCTTATTTCTAGTACTTTTAATTATATATATAAATTAGAATTTTAATTCTTAGCCATTGTGACCTAGAATACTGAAGACTAATTCCATTTCATAGTTTCTAGAAATATGTGCTTCTTCTATGTATAATTTTTTAGTGTGGAACAGGACATATTTACTGACAGACCTAAGTATGTTTTGTCTTTCTATAAAATTTAAGAAGCTGAAACTAAGCTAAATGAAGCAGCTTATGCCTGTAGTCCCAGCTACTTGGGAGGCCAAGGTGGGTGGATAGCTTGAGCTCAGGAGTTCGAGACCAGGGTGGACAACATGGTGAAACCTCGTCTCTACAAAAAATATTACCTAGGCAAGGTGGTGCACACCTGTAGTCCCAGCTACTTGGTGGGTTGAGGCAGGAGGATCTCTTGAAACTAGGAAGTTGAGACTGCAGTGGGCTGAGATCGTGCCACTGCACTCCAGCTTGGTTGACAAAGTAAGACCCTGTTTCAAAAAAAAAAAAGCTCTTAAAACCATTTTAAGTAGACATATTTTATAAAACAATTATTCTTGAAAAAGTATAAATTTTTACCTCATTTACATCTAATTTATTTATTTTAACAATTATGCTTGAACTGTTCATGAAAATTATGCAACATTGAACAAAACTAGTTAGCCATGATCTCACATTGTTTCCCTGTTACCTTTTTTTTTTTTTTTTTTTTTTTTTTAGACGGAGTTTTCCTCTGTTGCCCAGGCTGGAGTACAATGGCATGATCTTGGCTCACTGCAGCCTCTGCTTCCTAGGTTCCAGCAATCCTCCTGCTTCAGCCTCCTGAGTAGCTGGGATTACAGGCGCCGGCTACCATGCCTGGCTAATTTTTGTATTTTGAGTGGAGATGGGATTTCACCATGTTGGCCAGGCTGGTCTCAAACTCCTGACCTCAAGTGACTTGCCCGCCTCTGCCTCCCAAAGTGCTGGGATTACAGGTTCAAGCCACCACACGTAGCCTCCTGTTGACCATTTTAAAAACATGGGAATGTTGGGTAATCATCACCAAAGCAAGGATCCTAAAGTTAGAGACATGAGCGTTGTGCTGATGAGAATATACAGTTTTTGTTTGTTAAACCAATATTTGACTAGTCTTATTTACCAAATATTTGTCCAAATTACATGAACTAAAAGGCATTTAAGTTAGTTTCTATTTTCTTGATAAAATACTTAAGTGCTGATTTTTTCTTTAATTAGAACTCTTTCATACATTTTGATAGAGAACTATCACACACACGTAACACATATAGACACACAGACATACAGACTTACAGAACAGACAAAAGGAGATCTAGCTTTTTGCCAAATTGATTACACGCAAAATTCTTCATTTGCCAGTTTTCACGTAGTTTTTCTCGTCCCTTTCAGGTCTTCGATCCTGTCACTAGTTGTTAGCTAGGCAACCCTAAATTGGCACTTCCAAAGTTATGACTCCTAGATGAAACAAGGTAGAAAATTTACATCTCAAAGACACAGAGCTTAGATCTAAACATTATTATTTGCAGAAACAAGGAAGGCAGAGGTAAAGTTCCAGGTAAGAAAAGATGGCCAGGAAAAGCACCTTAAAATTTCTAGTGACTTACATACAAAGAGGGAGACACTCTTACATACAGAGATTTCCTGTATACATGTAAATTTTACAAAAAGTTTCAGGCTGGGCACTGCGGCTCATGCCTATAATCCCAACACTTTGGGAGTCTGAGGCAGGTGGATAACCTGAGGTCAGGAGATCAAGACCAGCCTGGCCAATACAGTGAAACCCGTCTCTACTAAAAATACAAAAATTAGCTGGGCGTGGTGGCACATGCCTGTAATCCCAGCTACTCAGGAGGCTGAGGCGGGAGAATCACTTGAACCCACGAGGCGGAGGTTGCAGTGGGCCAAGATTGTGCCACTGCACACCAGCCTGGGTGACAGAGTGAGACTCCGTCTCAAAAAACAAACAAACAAACAAAGTTTCAAAATAGCTGGCTAAATTTCAGAAAGCTATATTTTGGAGCCTGATTTAGTTTAATAGGCAGTTTTTTCAACTAATTTTTAAATGAGATTATTGACTTTAGGGCAGAGTTCACTGACATATAGGGCAAATAAAGCATTTTCTAGGCCTGCTTGACCTGGGAGTCTAACTTTTATAAACATTTTATTTAGCTGTATTTTTGTCTTTGGGATGGGATAGTAACTAAGTGAAAAAGTTGGTATATTTAATTCATATCAATTAGCCATTTAAGCTCTTTGTTTGGTCTTTTTTAAAGAGCCTTTTAAAGGAGGCAATAAAACAATTTAAAATATCCTTAGATGATTCAATGTTGTTCATCTGGAATGTTCCACATAATGACCATTGCAATTTTAAATGATTTTTATGAAGATTTAACCATTATTATAAGTATTTGCAGCTTCTAGGGCCTAATACGTATACAGCTGACCGCTGAAAACACGGCAGTTTTGCACTGCACAGATGGACTTCTGTGCATTTTTTTCAATAAATATATTGGAAAAGTTTTTGGAAATTTGCGACAATCTGGAAAATATGCATAAGCTGTGGAAGCCTAGGAATATCAAAAAATTAAGCAAAAGTTAAGTATGTCACACATGCATAAAATATATATGGTCTGTTTTATCATTTGATACAATAAAATACAAATTCATTTTAAGAAGTGCTATAGCTTAGATGTTTGACCCCTCCAAACTTCACGTTGAAATTTAATTACCAATGTTGGAGATGGGATCTGATAGGAGATATTTGGGTCTTGGGGCAGATAACTCATGAATAGATTAATGCCTTCCCTGGGTATAGGGCTATAGTGAGTGAGTTTTCACTCTGTTAGTTCCCATGAGACCTGGGTTTTGTTGTTGTTGTTTTGTTTTGTTTTGAGATGGAGTCTTGCTCTGTCACCCAGGCTGGAGTACAGAGATCTCAGCTTACTGCAACCGCCGCCTCCTGGGCTCAAGCAATTCTCCTGCCTCAGCCTCTCGAGTAGCTGGGATTACAGGCACCCGCCACCACACCTGGCTAATTTTTATATTTTTAGTAGAGACAGAGTTTCATCATGTTGGCCAGGCTGCTCTCGAACTCCTGAACTCCAGTGATTCACCTGCCTTGGCCTCCCAAAGTGCTGGGATTACAAGTGTGAGCCACTGTGCCTGTCCTAGACCTAGTTGTTAAAAAGATCCTAAGGCTGGGTATGGTGACTCATACCTGTAATCCTAGCAGTTTGGGAGGCTGAGGCAAGAGGATCACTTGAGGCCAGGGGCTTAAGACCAGCCTGAGTAACATAGCAAAACCCCATCTCTACCAAAAAATAGAAAAAATAGCCAGCATGGGTTGCATGCCTGTAGTCCCAAGCTACTAGGGAAGCTGAGGTGGGAGGATTGCTTGAGCGTAGGAGGTAGAGGCTGCAGTGAGCCATGATTGTGCCACTGCACTCCAGCCTGGGTGACCGAGTGAGTCCCTATCTCCAAAAAGATAAATAATTAAAAAGAGCCTCAGTCCTCCCCCTTCCCTCCTTCCTTCTCTTGCTTCCTCTTTCACCATGTGATCTCTGCACAGGTCAGCTCCCCTTTGTCTGCCAGCATGAGTGGAAGCAACCTGAGGCCCTCAGCAGATGCCTGTTAGGCAGCAGAATTGTGAACCAAATAGACCTTTTTTCTTTATAAAGCACCCAGTCTCAGGTGGTGCTTTATAGCAACACAGAATGGACTAAGACAAAAAGTTAAAATTTATCAAAACATGCACAAAACACACAGATCATATGTGGTGCAATTCACAGTTGAGAGAAATGCAAACAAACATAAAGGTACAGTATTAAACCACAACTGCAGTAAATGAACTACAGTACATACTGTATTAAACTGTAATAATTTCATAGCCTCCTCCTATTGCTATAATGGTGAGCTCAAGTGTAGGAAGTATCCACTTAAAATGTCATGTGATGCTAATAATCTCCATGTGGACAGTTCATCTCTCCAGTAAATTGCAAATTGCAGCAAAAAGTGATCTCTTGTGGTTCTCACGTGCTTTTCATCGTGTTTGCTCTAATACTCTAAACCTTGAATAACACTGTGGAACCCATGCAAAGTGCCACTAGCAATGCTGGAAGTGCTCCCAAGAAGCAGAGAAAAATCATGATATTACAAGAAAAAGTTGTATTGCTCAGTATGTACCATAGATTGAGGTCTGCAGGTATGGTTGCCTGCCATTTCATCCTGTGAACAGATGACATCAACTTATGGGATGGATAAACACAGAATAATACTGTAGATGTATTTTTCCTTCTTTATGATTTTCTTAATAACATGTCCTTTTCTCTAGCTTCCTTATTGTAAGAATACAGTATATAATACATGTAACATACAAAATATGTGTTAATCAACCATTTATGTTATTCACAAGGTTTCCAGTCAACAGTAGGGTAGTAGTAGCTCACTTTGGGGGAGTCAAAACTTATACTCAGATTTTTGACTTTGCAGGGATTGGCACTCTTGATCCCCTAATTGTTCAAGGATCAACTGTATATCCACAAATTAGTGTCTGGCATAGGGTAGGTGCTCAATAAATATTTGTACAACTATTTAAAGACCATGAGATATTGGGAGCCCACGGTTTTCTCTTTTCTTTTCTTTTCTTTCCTTTTGTTTTCTTTTCTTTTCTTTTCTTTTCTTTTCTTTTCTTTTCTTTCTTTCTTTCTTTCTTTCTTTCTTTCTTTCTTTCTTTCTTTCTTTCTTTCTTTCTTTCTTTCTTTTCTTTCCTTCTTTCCTCGCTCTCTCTCTCTTTCTTTCTGAGACAGTCTCGCTTTGTTGCCAGGCTGGAGTGCAGTGACACAATCTCGGCTCACTGCAAGCTCTGCCTCCCAGGTTCACACCATTCTCCTGCCTCAGCCTCCCAAGTAGCTGGGACTACAGGTGCGTGCTACCACACCCAGCTAATTTTTCTATTTTTAGTAGAGACAAGATTTCACCATGTTGGCCAGGATGGTCTCGATCTCTTGACCTCGTGATCCACCTGCCTCGGCCTCCCAAAGTGCTAGGATTACAGGCATGAGCCACCATGCCTGGCCGAGCCAAGGGTTTTCTAATGTGTTACAGTATAACGGAGTTTATCACAGAGACAGGGAGAAGTAAGTCTGTCTGAGTGTGGTGCTGGCCTTGTGGGGCGGTGCTATAGAGTCCCCATGGCTGGATTAGTAGATTACTTTACACAGCTTCTTAGGCTTCTGCAGGTCAAAAAAAACTTGGTCATAAACACACAGGAAACTTATAGAAAGAACTGGAGAGAGTACAAAGAGAATGGGAAGTCCTAAAAAGATGGTAGCTGCCAGAGTCAAAGAAAGGATATTTTTCATGTTAATGTGATCAAAATTTTACCCCCGGCTAATGAGGTCTGAGACACACAGATTATATGTGAAATTCCAAAGGGTATGCTTTCAAGAACTAGAACTAATATTGTGGCAACTATACAAATGGTGAGAAACTATTTAAAATATAACATCCTACCCTTTACAAACCAGAATAGGCCCAGTTGTCTCTGCAGTTAAGTTTACTCTGTTTTCAACTTATTACTTTCTGGTCAAATCTCAGAATCTTTCCTTGACCAAAATGGCTTGTATCTGAGCCATACTGCCCGAGCTAAAAACTTTTTTGGCTTCATTTTTCTGTGAAAGAAACACTGCTATGGACGGAATGTTTGTTTTGTTAAAATTCGTATGTTGAAATCCTAACCTCCCTTTTCTCTCCCAGCATGAGTGGAAGCAGTGATCATATTAGAAGGTGGGGCCTTTGGGAAGTAATTAGATCATGAGGGTGGAGCCCTCATGCATGGGATTAGTGGCCTCAGTAAAAAACACATGAGAAAGCCTTCTTTCTCTGTCTCTGCTCTATGTCTTGTGAGGATACAATCAGAAGATGGCCATCTGCAAACC
This sequence comes from Homo sapiens, assembly GCF_000001405.40. Taxonomy (NCBI): domain Eukaryota; kingdom Metazoa; phylum Chordata; class Mammalia; order Primates; family Hominidae; genus Homo; species Homo sapiens. The sequence continues at coordinate 172,032,325 of NC_000003.12, forward strand.
AGGAGTCAGGCTCTCATCTTGCAAGAGATCTGCTGGTGCTTTGATCTTGGACTTCACAGGCTCCAGATGGTTAGAAATAAATTTCTATCATTTAAACTGCCCAGTCTATGGTATTCCGTTACAGAAGCCCAAATTGACTAAGACAGACACATGTATGTATGACTATCTACACACATATTTTTATCTAGGGCATATTCTGAAGTTGTTTGAGGATGATAGTATTTAGCATGCCTGCTGTGAAGACACCTACATATCATTCATTTTTTTATTTTTATTTTTTATTTTTTTGAGAGGGAGTCTCACTCTCTCATCCAGGCTGGAGTGCAGTGGCGTGATCTTGGCTCACTGAAACCTCTGCCTCCTGGGTTCAAGCGATTCTCCCACTTCAGCCTCCTGAGTAGCTGGGACTACAGGTGCGTGCCACCACGCCTGGCTAATTTTTGTATTTTTGGTAGAGACAAGGTTTCGCCATGTTGGCCAGACTGGTCTCCAACTCCTGATCTCAGGTGATCCACCCACCTCAGCCTCCCAAAGTTCTGGGATTACAGGCTCATTCAGAGGTCTTGACCTTTTAGGAAAAGAAAGTGACCCAAAAAAATTGTCCTGGTTTGTTTTGTGCTGCTACAACAGAATACCACAGACTGGGTAATTTATAATAAACAGGAATTTATTTGACTCACAGTTTTGGAGGCTGGGAAGTCCAAGACTGAGGGGCCACACCTGGTGAGGGCCTTCTTGCTGCACCATCCCTGGCAGAAGGCAGAAGAGTGAGAGAGCCCTTGAAATAGCAAGAGAGGGCTGAACTCACTGAACTATCTAATGAGTGGGTTTGTGATAATGAACCCACTCAGATAGATAGATAGATAGATAGATAGATAGATAGATAAAATAGATGATACTGATCTATTCATGAGAGCAAAGACCTCATGACCTAATCACCTCTTAAAAGTTCCACCTCTCAACACTGTTGCACTTGGGATTAAGTTTCCAACACATGAAGCTTGGGGGAGACCTTCGAACCATAGCAGGAATAAATCAGGTAAGAGGGTGTGTGTCTTGGTCCATTTGTGTCACTATAAAGGAATACTTGAGGCTGGATAATTTATTAAGAAGAGAGGTTTATTTGGCTCATAGTTCTTCAGGCTATACAAAAAATGTTGCACTACCATATGCATCTGGCAAGGGGCTCAGGCTGCTTCTACTCATGACCAAAGGCTAAGAGGAGTTGGTGTGTGCAGAGGTACAGAGATCACATGGCAAGAGAGGAAGCAAGAGAGAGACGGGGGAAGTGCCAGGCTCTTCTTAACAACCAGCTCCTATAGGAACTAATAGAGTAAGAACTTGCTCATTATTCGAGGAGGACACCAAGCCATTCATGAGGGATCTGTCTCCATGACACAAACACCTCCCATTAGGACCCATCTCCAACATTGGTGATCAAATTTCAATGTGAGGTTTGGGGGACAAACATCCAAACTATAGCAGTGGGCAAGAGTGGTGACAATGACTGTGAGGAAAGTAAGATCCAATCCTGCCCTGCGGTGGTACGGCTTAAGGTAATTCAGTGTGATAGACAGATTTTTTTTTTTTTTTTTTTTTTTTTTTGAGATGCAGTCTCGCTCTGTCGCCCAGGCTGGAGTGCAGTGGTGCCATCTTGGCTCACTACAACCTCTGCCTCCTGGGTTCAAGTGATTCTCCTGCCTCAGCCGCCCCAGTAGCTGGGATTACAGGCGCCCGCCACCATGCCCGGCTAATTTTTGTATTTTTTAGTAGAGATGGAGTTTCACCATGTTGGCCAGGCTGGTCTCGAACTCCTGGCCTCAGGTGATCCACGCACCTTGGCCTCCCAAAGTGCTGGGATTACAGGCATGAGCCACCGCACCCAGATTCATAGCTTTTTAAATAACTTTGCCACAAGAGAAAAATTACTGGTGATATGTCTTTGTCCTTGTCTTGTTTTATGTTTTTGTTAATGACTTAAATGGCAACATGGAAAGCATGCTTCATACTCATCAATATCACAAAACTGTGGAAGGTTGCTTGATAATAGACTCAATGTCCAAAAAGTACTCGTTGGCTGGGATGTAAAAATGAAACTTACAAATAAAATTTAATAAAATTATATATTCAACCAGTTAACTAATTAATGTCAGTTAAGATTAAATCAATTGCATATCTAATTTATGCCCAGCTTCTCATGGAAGAAGAAGCATGAGCTAACAGAATGAGGAGGCTGCTAAGAAATTTAACAAAATATTAAACCGTAATAGTAGAAGCGTTTTGTCCAAACTGAAGCAGGAAAAGATAACACTCTTTGTAGCTGTAGTCTTTTCATGCCTGAAATATTATGAGTGAAATCTGGATACCCAACTGTATCAGTCAGTTCTCGTACTGCTATAAAGAAATGCCTGAGACTGGGTAATTTATAAAGAAAAGAGGTTTAATTGGCTCACAGTTCCTCAGGCTGTACAGAAAGCCTAGTGGCATCTGCTTCTGGGGAAGCCTCGGGGAGCTTTTAATCATGGCAGAAGGTAAAGCAGGAGCAGGCGTCCTACACGGCTGAAGCAGGACCTAGAGAGAGGGGGAAGGTGCAACCAGATCTCCTGAGAATTCACTCACTATGCAGTACCAAGGGGGGACGGTGCTAAACCATTCATGAGAACTCCGCCCCCATGAGCCAATCACCTCCTACCAGGACCCACCTCCAGCACTGGGGATTACATTTCAACATGAGATTTGGGTGGGGACACAGATCCAAACCATATCACAAACTTTCAGAGATGCTGAACAGGTAGGCCCTCAGAGGTGGTAGGAAAGAAGGATGAAGAGAGATCTTTGACGAGTTCGGCATGTCAGGGACGTTTATTCAGGAAAAGAGAATCTCTAGGGAGCAAATGCCAGGCATGTTCAGTTCATTGGAAGGGAGGTCATGTGGAAGGTGAGTGTTGTTATTTTGTCTGCCTCCAGAGGGCAGAAATAAAACCAGTGGGAGAAAGTTGTAAGGAGGCAGTTTCAGAAGACCTGGGTTAGAACTACAGTTGTTGATAATAAGCTGTCTCCACAGGAATAGGTTTTCCTTTCCCTGGTGCTGTTCAGACTGAGGCTGGGTCCTTAGTTGTAATTGACATGGGAGCCAAGATTTCTGCTTTGGGAGGGACAGTGGGAGTCTATCAACCTGTGATTTTTAAGAGCCCTGTCAATCATTCAGCTTCTACCTGAATAGTTCTGGTAACTGTGGGACAGATCTCTTTGTTTAAAATGTGTTTTTCTTTAAATAAAACATTGAGCTAAAATTTGCTTATCTTGCCTTGAACAATAGAAAAGGCGGCAAAACCACAGATGTGACTGGTGAAGTTGTTGGAGAAATGTGCTTCACTGAAGTGGCAGTGTTGCTTTTAAAACAAGATGAATTGGCTTTTGGTCAGTGTTCATATTGAAGCTGGTGTCAGATATGGCTCAGGACATTAGAATAAGTAGTAGATGCAAAGAGTTAATGCCTTCTATTTAGGGTCAAGAGTATTATTATTATTATTATTATTTTTGAGATGGAAGTTTGCTCTTGTTGCCCAGGCTGGAGTGCAATGGTGCCATCTCAGCTCACTGCAACCTCTGCCTCCTGGGCTCAAATGATTCTCCTGCCTCAGCCTCCCAAATAGCTGGGATTACAGGTGTCTGCCATCATACCAGGCTAATTTTTGTATTTTTTTTTTTTTTTAAGTAGAGATTGTGTTTCACCATGCTGGCCAGGCTAATCTCGAACTCCTGACCTCAGGTGATCCGCCTGCCTCAGCCTCCCAAAGTGCTGAGATTACAGGCATGAGCCACCATGCCTGGTGGTCAAGAGCAGTTTTTAAGAGTAGGGGCAGAACTGAGCCTGCCTTGGGAACCTAGCAACTCGAGCTATAGGGAGAAGAAGGACATTGAAACTGAGAATGCAGCTGGGTCTTGTAGATATTACGTGTTACTAGTCATAGTGATCTTTGAGAGAGAGTTTCAAATTTAAACATTTTAGACTACAGAAGTGTTCAGAAAAGTTGAATTGTTTGAGACCTTTTCAATGCTAGCTTCAATACTTTCATTCTTTCCTGTGTACTACTGTTGCATTTTTTGATATAAATTATTTGAGATGAAGAAGTATGACTAAGAATCTTTTTAAAATTTGGACTCAGCCTACATTGCATAGGTGGTAGAAGGGTTTAAGAGTCTCTATATTTTGTTATAGGCCTTAACTTCTAGGCATCTTCATTTGGATGTTAACTTTTGTATTTGAGCAAATCTTAAGGTGCTTTTGGAGCAAAGTTTTAGCCAGGACTATAGTTTCATAATTTGGGACCTAGAGCAGCAGATTATGCAGGTTGTCAACACCAGATAGTCATACTCATTGCCTTAGGTTGAGGTCCTTCTTCCTATTCCCAGAACCATGACTCTGGTGTAAGTCTTATCATTTCCAAAGTAGGTTCAGGGCATGCATCTCTGACATGAGCCTTGTTCTATATCCTGCTGCTAAGATAACCTTGAAACCTATTTTAATTACTTCATGCCTCAATAATCCCACAGTGTTCTCACTGTATTAAATCTAAATCCCTCAAAGTATAGGTGAGAGCCCTCTATCACAAATTCCACCTTTTTCTCTGAAGCTTCCAATTCTGTCCTATTAATCCTTTTAAGAAATATATCTTTATTAATTCATTTACTCATTCATTCATTCATTCATTCATTCAAGGAGTAACCAATATTTATTTACTGAGTACCAGGTGCTTGAGTTTTTTAATCCTCACAACAACCTTGACCAGAAGGTTTATTAAAGATCACAATTTAACAAATAAGAAAATTCAGGTTCAGAGAACTTTATGCCCAACATCACTCCTTTTCTCTCATTATGTTCTATGCTCTCTCCAGTGTACCATACTTCCTCTCATTTTGCAAACATTTAATGGGCTTTTTTTCTGTGCCAAAACTGGTGTTAGGTGTTAGGGCAAAGAAGATGAATGAAACACTGAGATCATATATATGAACATGCATGTGAAATTATAAAGCATTATATGAAAATTGAAACTTTTTCTTCTTAATAAGAAAAAATTCAGTCTAGTGGAAGAAACAGGAATAAATAACTTTGTCCTCCAAACTTCCCTTGCCTACTTTTACCTCCTTTGCCAAGCTTGTCCTTCAACCTGAATTTGACCTTTCACATTCTGAAGTTTGCTCACTTACCTAGTCATTCAGATTCTTCCACATACTTTACAATTAATTCATTCACCAAACACAAAGGGGTCTTATATTCAAAGCAGAATTCTAGGTTGATACTAGGGATACAAACATGAACAAAACTCAGTCAAGTGGAAGAGATAAAGTATAACTAACTTCAGGCTGGGCACAGTGGCTCATGCCTATAACCCCAGCACTTTGGGAGCTGGGGCAGGAGGATTGCTTGAGCTCAGGAGTCTGAGACCAGCCTGGGCAACAAAAATGAAAAAAAAAAAAGAAACATTAAAAAAAAATTAGCCAGGCGTGATGGCACACACTAGTAGTCCCAGCTACTTGGGAGGCTGAGGTGGGAGACTCGCTTGAGCCTAGGAGCTTGAAGACGCAGTGAGCTACGATCATGCTACTGCACTCTAGCCTCAGAAAAAAAAAAAAAAAAAAAAGACTAACTTCAGAGCAATGTGAGAACTGACAAGGATTATAAGATTGTGGGGAAAAGAGGTATGAGACTGTAGGGAGGAAAGGAGGGAGTGGTTTTAGCCGGAGATCAAGGATGAGTAAATGATCTTAAATAGGGAAGAAGAAGTATGTTTCAGAGGGAAGGCACGTACAAAGGGACACAGGTACCTTCTGGAGCCATGAGTGATCAGCTGGGCTGAAGGCATGGCACCTGAGGAAGCCAAAGAGTCTGGAGCCAGAGAAGGCATTTGGACTCAAATGGGATCTATTGGATTGTACCCTATTGGCACTAAGGAACTACTGCCTACCCCCCGCCCCGGCTTCTCATGCAGGACTATGACCTAGAATTGGAGTTATGTTATAGAAAGATGGCTTCAAGTTCCCCTTTGAGGAGCTCCACAGTAAATAAGCCATTTAGGAGAGAGGTCCCCATTTCTCTGGACTCACCATTGCCTCCAAAAAAAAAAAAAAAAGGCTAAAATCTCCCCAAAAGAATGGCAAATGAACAAGGGAAGGAAGGAGCTATTTCTTAGTGTTCTTTAGACTTTAACAGAGTATTATGTACTGCTATTATTATTTTTTAGGTTAACAAAAGTAATACATTGTCTCTAGTGACTCCCTGAATGCTCCTTTGTAGCTTAATAGTTGAGGCTGAATGTAGCTATTCAGAATACCTGGACAGCTATGGATGGAAGGGGCTTCTCTAGGCTAACTTTTGCTCTCTTGTCTCCTGAATAATCTGAGGGGTGGCATGGGATGCAGTCTGTTAACCTCTTAGAGCCTGTACAACAGAAATACATTACATTTGACTTAATATGAACTCAACAGTTATTTAATGAGTCCTATTGTGGTCCTTGCACTGTGCTATATTTTACGGATATAAAGATAAAAGTAAGAAACAGTCTTTGTCCCTGAGAAACGC